>NW_009646195.1:0-166200 GCF_000001405.40 Homo sapiens | reverse complement strand
CATCACCACAATCAATTTTAGAACATCTCATCATCCTGAAAAGAAACTCCATACCCTTTAGCCTCCTCTCCCCATTCTCCCCAGCTTCAAGCCCTAGGCAACCATTAATCTACTTTCTGTACGCCAGGGGTGATGGCTTACACCTGTAATCCCAGCACTTTGGGAGGCCGAGGTGGGCAGATCACCTGAAGTCAGAAGTTTGAGACTAGCCCGGCCAACATGGTGAAACCCCATCTCTACTGAAAATACAAAAATTAGCCAGGTCTAGTGGCAGGCACCTGTAATCTCGATTACTTGGGAGGTTGAGGCAGGAGAATTGCACGAACCCAAGAGGTAGAGGTTGCAATGGGCAGAGATCGCAAGACTGCACTCCAGCGTGGGTAACAGAGTAAGATTCCATCTCAAAAAAAAAAAAAAAAAAAAGAAAAGAAAAGAAAGAAAAATATCTACTTTCCATTTCTACAGATTTGTGTATTCATGGACATTTTTTAAAAATGGAGTCATATAATATGCAGTCTTTTGTGACTGGTTTCTTTCATTTAGCATACTGTTTTCAAGTTTCATCCATGTTGTTCACCTGTCTCAATCCTTTCTCATAAGTGGTAGCATTCTTCCAACAGATGTGTGGGTGCCAGACAGCAATGTGACCCTCTCACCCACTCCTCCCAGTGGAGTTCCTGACTACCGTCGTTCCCCTACGAGAAGCCTTTCTCCTCCCGTTACTGACTACTCTAGTAAGGAGGACTTTAGCAGAGTTCTTTTTTTCCATTTTCTCCCTGGGACTTAGCAGCTCAAGTGCAGCTGGCCCTTGGCCAAGCTTCCTCTCCAAGACACCTGCAGGTGCTACCAGTGCTGCCACCTTATGCCCATTTCTTGAAGTAGTGGACACTGGATCAGGCACTGTCTTCCTCCCTGAGAGCCCTGCTCTTTGCTGTGTTCACAATCAAGGTTGTGACTCATGACAGAGTGTGACCAGGAGAGGTCGAGGGTGTGCTGTGTGGGAACTCATGCCTGGTACCTTGAAACAACCAAGAGGCAGAGAAAGAAGCAAGCGCAAATGCACATGGAGCTCAAGAGGAGCGTGATTTTAAATCTCTCTTCCTGATTATCTTGGCTGTTTCTTCAGCTTCCACTTTTCTTCCTCTCTTCAGTTCACTTTCATTTCCCTATGTTACTCCTCAAAGAATAGGGAACCTACACGTCTCTCACTGTTCATTTCCACCTGGATTGTTTTCTCTTGTCACGTCAAGGGGTACAACTGTATACTTAGACATTTGGGTATGCTTAAGTTACTTCTATAAAAAAGAATCAGTCTAAACATTCTGCCCTGCTGAATGGCAAAACAAGGAAAAGGTTTTCTGTTTTCCAAAAAAATAAAGATGTTCTTCCTGAATAAATAAAGCTACCCAAACACAAATTTTTAAGAAACACACTTAAATTATCAGTCCCAAAGAAAAACTAGCATAGTAATTAAAATACTTTCCCTAAATGTTCATGCCTGAATCTGGGACCTTGTCAAAGTTCATTCTGGGGTGCATAGTTCCATTACAGATTATCATGCACGACCCTGAACTCCCTGAGTAGACCGTATATCTCCACTTCAAGCTCTTATTCCTGGGAAAATCTTTCCAAATTAAGGCTGCAGGCACTTATCTACCTCAGACTCTCATTGCCACTCTATGATATTTATTCAAGAAATGTTTGTATACTACCACATGCTAGCCTTGTGCTATACACAAGACAGACAAGGTTCCAGCTCCCATGGGGTTTAGCTTCTAGGTAGGGAAATGTAACAGTAGACTGCAGCCCTAAGACCTGTGGTGTGCTTGGCTGAGTCCCTCAGTGTGTCTTGATGAGTCCTGTTACCCCTAAGTAAAACAGGCAAGAAACACCTTGCTGTCTTAGACAGCAAAGAAGAAAAGCAGATGGACTGGGTGTAGTGGCTCACACCTGTAATCCCAGCACTTTGGGAGGCTGAGGCAGGCTGATCATTTGAGATCAGGAGTTTGAGACCAGCCTGGTTGAAATGGTGAAACCCCGTCTCAATTAAAAATACAAATGTTAACTGGAGGTGGTGGCGGGCGCCTGTAATCCCAGCTACTGGGAAGGCTGAGGCAGGAGAATCACTTGAACCTGGGAGGTGGAGGTTTCAGTGAGCCGAGATCGTGCCACTCCACTCAAGCCTGGGCGACAGAGTGAGACTCAGTCTCAAAATACAAAACAAAACAAAACAAAAAACAGAAGAAAAGCAGATGGGCTCAGGTGGTCTTGGCTGATAGCCTCACAGAATCTTCTGCCTTCATCTTACTTTGACCTTCCAATAACTCCCTGAGAGCCTCAGAAGCATCCCAAAGTGATAACCATACCATTAATGGATTTCATGACCTTATTAAATTCTTAAACTTTTTTTTTTTTTTTTTGAGACAAAGTCTCGCTCTGTCACCCAGGCTGGAGTGCAGTGGCGCGATCTCGGCTCACTGCAAGCTCTGCCTTCCAGGGTTCACGCCATTCTTCTGCCTCAGCCTCCCAAGTAGCTGGGACTACAGGCACCCACCACCACGCCCAGCTAATTTTTTGTATTTTTAGTAGAGACAGGGTTTCACCATGTTAGCCAGGATGATCTCGATTTCCTGACCTCGTGATCCGCCCGCCTCGGCCTCCCAAAGTGCTGGGATTTCAGGCGTGAGCCACCGCGCCCAGCCTTTTAAACACTTAAACTCTAGCATATATGTATGCTATAGTTCTAAGCAATGCCATATATGTGTGCTGTAGTTCTAAACAATTTCTAAGCAATGTCATATATATATATATATATATATATATAATGCATAAGCCACAGAATTGTTTTCATATATAATCTTTGTTAATTTATATAGTTTTGTATTATTTAACAGTATAAACATTACATTGTGGGTTGGTTTGTATGACCATTCCTTAATCCTTGAGAACTCAGAACAAAGTATGACATGCCTTTCCTATTTTCTACTCATTTTGTCTTCCGAGGGGCTGAGCATATCAATGGGATCTTTTTAACTTTTACTGTTAATCAGCTTGTAGGGAAATGCATTATTTATTCTCTCTTCCTTGGGGGTCAAAGCAGCCAACCAGATCTAAAGACACATTTAGAAGATATGTCAATGTAAACAGGTATGTATTTACTCTGACTTTGCTATTATAATTCATTAAGGCTTCATTTATCTGACACCTTTGGATAATGTGAAAAGCCTGAATTCATTTTCTAAATAATTAAAACTAATCCCTTTCAGTATAAAATGTTTTAAAATATGACTTTAATGAAAATTTATTTTAAATAAAATAGATCCCTGCCTTCTTGAAATGTATAGCAAATATAATTTAAACTCTTCTTATTTTCTTGGTCATTATTAGCATTCAGAATGAAACTCCAAAGTAATGCATCTCTGAGAAATATTAAAATATGCTATGCTTTTTGCCCTACCCAAAATGATCCGAGGCTAGTGTGATTTTGAGTTCTTTTATGTCCTTCCAATAATTTTCTTTCTGTTTTATCCCATCCTTTGTTAAGATATTAGATAATACCACTTGCTACTTCCTGGGTGCCTGGCTTTAGCAATTCTCTTCCTAATCTGTGTCCTAGGAAACTAGGTAACAAAATTTATTAGCATTGTGTGTAAAGTAAGAGCAAATAGGCTTTGAATCTGACAGTCTTTCCTGGAAGTGAATAGTATTAGCTTTTCAAGCAGTTCAATGGTCTTTTTAAATTGCTCTAGTATTCTCAATTCCCCTACTGATACCCTAGATTGTTGGATAAATTACCTTCTATAGAAAATTGAGACGTTAACATAGTCCTTTTCTTTTTGTCATTGTTGTCTTTTTTGAGACAGGGTTTTATTTCTGTCACCCAGGCTGGAGTGCAATGGCACGATCTCAACTCGCTGCCATCTCCGCCTCCTGGACACAGGCGATCCTCCTGCCTCAGCCTCCCAAGTAGCTGGGACTACAGTTGTGCACCACTACACCTGGCTAATTTTTTCTATTTTTTGTAGAGACGAGGTTTTGCCATGTTGCCCACGCTGGTCTCCAACACCTGGCCTCAAGCGATCCAGCCACCTCGGCCTCCCAAAGTGCTGGGATTACAGGTGAGAGCCACTGCGCCTGGCCAACATAGTACTTTTTTGCTTATATAATTTAGCTAGATACAACTTTTTCTACCAACCTTCTCCTTTGATTGGCTGGGTGTGGTGGCTCATGGTGTAATCCCAGCACTTTGGGAGGCCAAGCAGGGTGATTACCTTGAGCCCAGGAGTTCCAAACCAGCCTGGGCAACATGACAAAACCTCGTCTCTACAAAAATACAAAAATAAGCTGGGCGTAATGGGTGTGGTGGCGTGCACCTGTAGTCCCAGCTACTTGGGAGGCTGATGCATAAGAATCGCTTGAGCTTGGGAGGCGCAGGTTGCAGTGAGCTGAGATCCTGCCACTGCACTCCAGCATGGGCAACAGAGTGACTCTGTCCCAAAAAAAAGTTCTCCATTGGTTCTATTCTTTTTAGGTCCTCCTAATTTCTGATTTCAGACCATTAGTCCTTTCAATCCTAAATCTAAATAGCTGGACAGGGTGGCTCAACCCTGTAATCCCAGCACTTTGGGAGACCAAGGTGAGAGGATCATTTAAAACCAGGAAAAGGTGTGGCGCAGTGGCTCACACCTGTAATCCCAACACTTTGGGAGGCCGAGGCAGGCAGATCACTTGAGATCAGGAGTTCGAGACCAGCCCTGCCAACATAGCGAAACCCCCTCTCTACTAAAAATACAAAAATTAGCTGGGCATGGTGGCGGGCGCCTGTAATCCCAGCTACTTAGGAGGCTGAGGCAGGAGAATCACTTGAACCCAGGAGGCGGAGGTTGCAGTGAGCCAAGATTGCACCACTGCACTGCAGCCTGGGCAACAAGAACGAGAATCTGTCAACAACAACAACAACAAAAAAGAAGGAAAGAAAGAAAGAAAGAAAGAAAGAAAGAAAGAAAGAAAGAAAGAAGGAAAGAAAGGAAGAAGAGAAAATAATTTAGAAACCTGGTAAGATTTAAAGATCTTCTTATAGATTACAGGGAGCCTTCCAAACACAGTGGGTTTTTGTTTGTTTTTCTGACATAAAAAAGACCCAATTTGTAGTTTTAAGTTATTTCAGCTTTAAGTTAATAACAACATAGGCCAGGCGTGGTGGCTCACGCCTGTAATCCCAGCACTTTAAGAGGCCAAGGTGGGCAGATCACCTGAGGTCGGGAGTTTGAGACCAGCCCAACCAACATGTAGAAACCCCGTCTCTACTAAAAACACAAAAATTACCCAGGCATGGTGACACATGCCTGTAGTCCCAGCTACTCAGGAGGCTGAGGCAGGAGAATGGCCTGAACCCAGGAGGCGGAGGTTGTGGTGAGCCGAAATCGAGCCACTGCACTCCAGCCTGGGCAACAGAGCGAGACTCCATCTCAAAAAATAGTAATAATACAAATAAATTAAATAAATAAATAAAACCAACAAAACTAAAACCAACGTACCCGGTGGGGTGTGGTGGCTCATACCTGTAATCCTAGCACTTTGAAGGGAGAAGGTGGGAGGATCACTTGAGCCAGGGAGTTTAGGAACAGCCTGGGCAATATAGTGAGACCCTGTCTCTACAAAAAAAAAAAAGGAACTTAAAAAATTAGCCCAGTGTGGTGGCGTCAGCCAGTGGGAGGATTGCTTGAGCCCAGGAGTCAGAGGTTGCAGTGAGCTGAGATCTTGATGCTGCACTCCTGTCTGGGCGACAGAGAGACCCTGTCTCAAGCAAACCCCCAAAACCAATGTACCCAATTTTTAAAATGTAACATCATTTAAAATTGAGTGTCCAGCCGGGTGTGGTGGCTCACACCTATAACCCTAGCACTTTGGGAGGCCGAGGCAGGTGGATCACTTGAGGTCAGGAGTTTGAAACCAGCCTGGCCAACATGGTGAGACCCTGTCTCTACTAAAAATATGTATATTTTTTTGAGACAGAGTTTCGCTCTTGTTGTCCAGGCTGAAGTGCAATGGAGCGATCTCGGCTTACTGCAACCTCTGCCTCCCTGGTTCAAGTGATTCTCCTGTCTCAGCCTCCCGAGTAGCTGGGATCATAGGCATGTGCCACCACACCTGGCTAATTTTGTATTTTTAGTAGAGACGGGGTTTCTCCATGTTGGTCAGGCTGGTCTCAAACTCCCAACCTCAGGTGATCCGCCTGCTTCGGCCTCCGAAAGTGTTGGGATTACAGGCATGAGCCACTGCGCGTGGCCAGCTCATCCTTTCTTCAGGCCCTCTGCCCCATCAAAGTTGGAACCAAAACTCAGTTGTGGTCAAAACTCAGTTAACTAAACGTTTACAAACGGTAATAAGTGATCATGCAAAGATTTGCTTTGGGCCTTTGTGTGAGGAGGAGGGGAGTGGGGATGTGGGCCGTGAGCTGTGCTACCATCTTGATGCTGTGTCTCGTGTTTTCCTGTCAGTGTCTTGTTGCTTCAGGTCCTGTAGTTGTAAGCTGCAGTGATGGAGAGTGGGGTTAACCTAGTGCAGTTTTTACTTCAATGAATGATTCCTCTCTAGGATGTTACTAACATATCTCTTCATACCTTTTCTCATGCTGCACCTTTTTCAGAAGTGCTCCTATGGTGTCCCCATGTCTCATCTTAAATATCACCCCTTTAGGAAGCAATCTCTAACTCCTCTAAACCTGGGGTCAGCACATTTTTTAAATAAAGAAGCAGATATGTAATCCCAGCACTTTGGGAGGCTGAGGCAGGCAGATCACCTGAGGTCAGGAGTTCGAGACCAGCCTGGCAAAACCCCGTCTCTACAAAAAATACAAAAATTAGCCGAGTATGGTGGTGTGCACCTGTAATCCCAGCTACTAGGGAGGCTGAGGCAGGACAATCGCTTGAACCCGGGAGACAGAGGTTACAGTGAGCCGAGATTGCACCACTGCACTCCAGCCTGGGCAACAGAGCAAGACTACTCAAAAAAAAGAGAAGCAGATAGTGGCCAGGCAGGGTGGCTCACGCCTGTAATCCCAGCACTTTGGGAGGCGAGGCGGATGGATCATCTGAGGTCAGGAGTTCGAGACCAGCCTGGCTAACATAGTGAAACCGTGTCTCTACTGAAAATACAAAAATTAGCCAGGCATGGTGGCAGGTGCCTGTAATGCCAGCTATTTGGGAGGCTGAGGCAGGAGAATCACTTGAACCTGGGAAGCAGAGGTTATAGTGAGCCAAGATCACACCACTGCACCCCAGCCTGGGCGACAGAGAAAGACTGTATGTGTGTGTGTAAACATACATGTGAGTTAAAAAAAAAAAAAAAGCAGATAGTAAATATTTTAGGCTTTAGGCTTTACAGGCCAAGAGTGGTGAGAGTGCACTCCAGCCTGGATGATAGAGTAAGACCCTGTCTCAAAAAAAAAAAAAAAAAAAAAAAAAAGACAGCAGAAACATGTTGAAAATTTCCTATTGGAAATGCTTGGGACCAGAAATGTTTTGGAATTTTTAAACATGAAATTCACTTATGTTTCATATACACCTTATAAACATAGCCTGAAGCGAATTTTATTTTTCCCTTGGGGATGCTGTATGTTGTGTACCTGCATTTTGACAGTGGCCCATCATATAAGGTCAGGTATGAAATTTTCCACTTGTGGTGTCATGTCAGTGCTCAAAAAGTTTCACATTTTGGATAATTTCAGATTTCGGAATTTCAGATTAGGGATGTTGAACCTTTAATAAAAAGTGTTGGCTGGGCATGGTGGCTCGCACTGTAATCCCAGTACTTTGGGAGGCTAAAGCGGGAGGATCAATTGAACTCAGGAGTTTGAGACCAGCCTGCACAACATAGGGAGACCCCATCTCTACAAAAACAAGTTTTAAAAAAGTCAGATGTGGTGGCGCACACCTGTGGTCCCAGCTACTCAAGAGGCTCAGGTGGGAGGATCATTTCAGCCAGGAAGTTCTAGGCTACAGGGAGCTGTGATCACACCACTGCACTCCAGCCTGTCTCAAAAACAAAAACAAAACAAAGAAACCCCACCAACAATCAAGAAAGACGTGTTGATGAAGATGTGGAGAATTTGGAACCCTTATACATTGTTGGTAGTAATGTAACATGGTGCGGCATTTTGGAAAACAGTTTGGCAATACCCCGAAAAGTTAAAAGCAGAGTTACACTATGACCCAGCAATTCCACTTCGAGGTATTTCTACAAAAATAAAAACATGTATCCACAGAAAAATGTGTATGCAAAAAGTTGTACATAAATGTTCACAACAGTGTTATTTATAAGCAATCTAAATGTTCATCAACTATCAAATAGATCATTGAAAGTAGGCCACACATGGTGGCTCACGCCTGTAATCCCAGCACTTTGGGAGGCCGAGGCGGGCGGATCACCTGAGGTCAGGAGTTCAAGACCAGCCTGGTCAACATGGCAAAACCCAGTCTCTACTAAAAATACAAAAATTAGCTGGGCATGGTGTTGCACGCCTGTAATCCCAGCTACTTGGGAGACTGAGGCAGGAGAATCACGGAGGTTGCAGTGAGTCGAGATCGCGCCACTGCACTGCAGCTTCAGCAACAGAATGAGACTCCATCTCAAAAAAAAAAAAAAAAGAAAAGAAAAAGGAAAAGAAAGTGATATATTCATTCAATAGAGTATTATTCAGCAGTAAAACAGAACCAAGCCTGGGCAATGTGTCTCATGCCTCCAATCCCAGAACTTTGGGAGGCCGAGGCAACAGAATTACTTGAGCCCAGGAGCTCAAGACCAGCCTGGGCAATGTGGTGAAAACCCATTTCTATAAAAAATTTAAAAATTAGCTGGGCAGCCTGGGCAACATGGTGAAACCCCATCTCTACCAGAAATACTATATATATATATATATATATATATAAATAAAATATATAATTATATATATATAATATATTTTTTATATATAAGTTAGGCATGGTGCTGTGCGCCTGTAGTCTCAGCTACTCGGTAGGCTGAGGTAGGAAAATTGCTTGAGCCCAGGGAGGTGGAGGCTTCTGTAAGCCATGATTGTGCCACTGCACTCCATCCAGCCTGGGCGATAGAATGAGACCCTGTCTCAAGAAAAAAAAAAAAAAAAAGAAAAGAAAAGAAATCAAATATTGGTATATGCTATAACATGGATGAACCTGGAAACATTATGCTAAATGAAAGAATCTAGTCACAAAAGACCACATATTGTAAGATTCCATTACATGAAAAATCCAGAATAGATCCATAGAGACAAAGTGAATTTGGTTCTACAGGATGGGGAGTGACTAATGGGCAGGGTGTTTCTTTTGGGGATGATTAAAATGTTCTAAAATGTGGTGACGGTTGCACAACTCTGTGAATATATTAAAATTATTACATTGTACCCATTAGCCAGGTGTGGTGGCTCTCACCTGTAATCCCAGTTACTCAGAAGGCTGAGGTGAGAGAATCACTTGGGGCCAGGAATTCAAGACCAGCCTGGGTAACCGAGTAAGAGCCTGTCTCTTTAAAAGAAAACTGTAGGCCAGGTGCGGTGGGTCACACCTGTAATCCCAGCACTTTGGGAGGCTGAGGCAGGCAGATCACTTGAGCTCAGGGGTTTGAAACCAGCCTGGGCAATGTGGCAAAACCCTCGTTTTGACAAAAAATTAAAAAATTAGCCAGGTGTGGTGGTGTGTGCCTGTCATCCCAGCTACTCAGGAGGCTGAGGTGGGAAGATGGCTTGAGCCTGGGAGGAGGAGGTTGCAGTGAGTCGAGATTGTGCCACTGCA
Organism: Homo sapiens; assembly: GCF_000001405.40. Taxonomy (NCBI): domain Eukaryota; kingdom Metazoa; phylum Chordata; class Mammalia; order Primates; family Hominidae; genus Homo; species Homo sapiens. The sequence goes on along the minus strand of NW_009646195.1, from coordinate 156,391 downwards.
CTCCAGCCTGGTCAACAGGGCAAGACTCTGTCTCAAAAAATAAAACCATACACTTTAAATGAGTGAATTTTGTGGTATGTGAATTATTTCCCAAGGAAGAAACATTTAAAAAACAAGACATGTACAAAAATATAGTCAGATACAATGAATAAGATCTAGTATTTGACAGCACAACAGGATAACTATAGTCAGCAATAATTTGTTGTCCATTTTAGAATAACTGAGGGAAGCCAGGCATGGTGGCTCACGCCTCTAATCCCAGCACTTTGGGAGGCTGAGGCAGGTGGATCACCTGAGGTCAGGAGTTTGAGACTAGCCTGGCCAACATGGTGAAACCCTGTCTCTAATAAAATTACAAAAATTAGCTGGGTGTGGTGGCGGGTGCCTATAATCCCAGCTACACAGGGGGCTGAGGCAGGAGAATCACTTGATCCCGGGAAGTGGAGATTGCATAGAGGCGAGATCACACCATTGCATTCCAGCCTGGGCAACAAGAGCAAAATTCCATCTCAAAAAAAAACCCAAAAAAAAAAGAATAACTGAGGGAATACAATTGGAATGTTCATAACACAAATAAATGATGAGTGCCTAAGGTTATAGATACCCCATTTACTGTGATGTGATCATTACACATTGTTTGCCTGTATCAAAATATCTCATGTACCCCATAAATATGTACATTTACTATGTATCCATAAAAATTAAACATTAAAACATTAAAAATATATTTAAGTCCAGCGTGGTGGCACACGCCTGTAATCCTAGCATTTTAGGAGGCCAAGGCGGGTGGATTGTCTGAGCTCAGGAGTTTGAGACCAGCCTGGGCAACATGGCGAAACTCTGTCTCTCCTAAAAATACAAAAAATTAGTCAGGCATGGTGGTGCACACCTGTAATCCCAGCTACTCTGGAGACTGATGCAGGAGAATCGCTTGAACCTGGGAGGTAGACGTTGCAGTGAGATGAGATTGTGCCACTGAGCTTCGGCCGGGGCGACAGAGGAGACTCTGTCTCAAAAATTAATAAATAAATAAAAATTTAAAAAACAAAACAGGCCGGGAGCGGTGGCTCACGCCTATAATCCCAGCATTTTGGGAGGCCGAGGTGGGCGGATCACCTGAGGTAAGGAGTTCAAGACCAGCCTGGCCAACATGGTGAAGCCCTGTCTCTACTAAAAATACAAAAATTAGGTGGGTGTGGTAGAGGACGCCTCTAATCCCAGCTACTCGGGAGACTGAGGCAGGAGAATCACTTGAACCTGGGAGGCGGAGGTTGCAGTGAGCTGAGATCACACCACTGCACTCCAGCCTGGGGGACAAAGTGAGACTCACTTTGAGTCTCAAAAAAAAAAAAAAAAAATTGCATAGCAATGACTTGAGGAGCAGAGAAATAAAACTCTAGAAGTGACTTATTTTACATTTCCATTTGGGATTCGATTCTAAATACGTCTGACTCCAAAGGATGTATGTTCTTTTTTTCTTTTTTTTTGGGGGGGGGTGGGGACGTACCCAGCCCAAACATGTATGTTCTTAACCACTCTACTATACTGTCTCCTAAAGATTACTTCCTTAGGTTAGATTGCCAGATGTAGAATTACTGAGACAAAGGATATGAACACTTTTCCAGAACAGCTGAATGAAGTCCATGCAGCCAACTGGGCTTGCCATGTACATGGCCCCCTTCTAGGTAAAGTGAGATGCTGTTCTTGCTCAAGTGCGATGACTCATATGACCTGTTTTGAATGAAACAAACCCAGCTATCACAGCTGATTAACCAGTAGCTTAAACATAAGTCAAAGGCCACTATATGCAAGCTACCTACTGCCATTGAGGCAATAGGATATTTTGAACTTCAAAAAATAGCTGTTCAAAAGCAGCACTCAATGTCAAGTAATGGCAAATCAATCCAATCAAATTCTCTCTTTAGGGACATATAATATAAATGCGAAGTGAACAAAGAGAAGGCAAATAACTCAAACTCAAGTTGTTGAGCTTTTAGCATCTGTGTGGTAAGTGTAGAAAATGAATTATTTGGCTGGGCACCGTGGCTCACGACTGTAATCCCAGCACTTTGGGAAGTGGAGGTGGGTGGAACACGAGGTCAAGAGATTGAGACCATCCTGGCCATCATGGCTAAACCCTGTCTCTGTTAAAAATACAAAAATTAGCTGGGCGTGGTGGCACACGCCTGTAATCCCAGCTACTCGGGAGGCTGAGGCAGGAGAATTGCTTGAACCCGGGATGCGGAGGTTGCAGTGAGCTGAGATCGCGCCACTGCACTCCAGCCTGGGTGACAAAGTGAGACTCCATTAAAAAAAAAAAAGGAAAAAAAGAAAATGAATTATTTATGGAGAAGCTTTCAATTGTCATCCAAAGAGTGAACCCAGGCCAGGCGCGGTGGCTCACATCTGTAATCCTAGCACTTTGCGAGGCCAAGGTGGGTGTATCACTTTGGGTCAGGAGTTCGAAACCAGCCTGGCCAACATGGTGAAACCCTGTCTCAACTGAAAATACAAAAAAATTCGCTGGGCATGGTGGTGGGCGCTGTTAATTTCACCTACTTGGGAGGCTGAGGCACAAGAATCACTTGAACCCTGGGGGTCAGAAGTTGCAGTGAGCCGAGATCATGCCATTACACTCCAGCCTGGGCAACAGAGCGAGACTCCATCTCAAAAAAAAAAAAAGAATGAACCCAAACACTTCTTGAAAACAAGCTCACCCTGCTAGGAGCCCAGGTATAGCACATTGAGGCCAAGTCATTTATACTGTCAGAAAAATATAACCATATGATGGTTGGGCACAGTGGCTCACACCTGTAATCCCAGTACTTTGGGAAGCCGAGGCCGGCAGATCACATGAGGCCAGGAGCTCGAGACCAGCCTGGCCAACATGGTGAAACCCTTTCTCTAATAAAATTACAAAAATTAGCCAGGTGTGGGCCGGGTACAGCGGCTCACACCTGTAATCCCAATACTTTGGGAGGCCGAGGCAGGCAGAACACCAGAGATCGGGAGTTTGAGACCAGTCTGACCAACATGGAGAAACCCTGTCTCTACTAAAAATACAAATATTAGCTGGGTGTGGTGGCACGAGCCTGTAATCCCAGCTACTCAGGAGGCTAAGGCAGGACAATCGCTTGAACCCGGGAGGCAGAGGTTTTAGTGAGCCGAAATCGTGCCACTGCACTCTAGCCTGGGAAACAGAATGAGACTGCGTCTCAAAAACAAAACAACAACAACAAAAAATTAGCCAGGTGTGGTGGGGCACACCTGTAATCCCAGCTACTCAGGGGGCTGAGGCACAAGAATCACTTGAACCCGGGAGGCGGAGGTTGCAGTGAGCTGAGATCATGCCATTGCATTCCAATCTGGGCGATAGAGCAAGACTCCATCTCGAAAAAAAAAGAAAAGAAAAATATAACCATATGAACCATTCCTTAAGAAGAAAGAAGTTTTCAAAGGGAAACAGAGTCATTCCATCAGATCAAATCATTATACTGATAAAAACTTTAAATAAATTTTCTTTTGTTTCAAGGGGGGAAAATGAAGTTAGAATTGCTAATCAACCTGGCCTCTAAACCTCTAAACTCCATCTCTCCTCAAACCTTAACAGCTTTTTCCTGCTCTGCTCTCTCAGCTAACGAATTTGCCTTTTACGTCATTGGGAAAACATAGGCAAGCAGATAGGAACTTTGTCATCCTCTCACCACCAAATCCCCCAACCTACCTGCATCAGAACCCATATCCTGTCTTCCCTCCTGTGACAAGGGGAGAAGTGAGGCTGTTCCAAAGCCAATCATTCCATCTGGGCTCTGTTTCCCATCCCCTCTAGCCTAGTCATGGGCTTTGCAGCTGAAAATTTCCCAAATCTCTCCTGATTCATCAATTTCTTCCTTTCTATTGAAAATATACAAGCATGTTCTAGTTTCTCTTTCCCAATACTTAAAAAACTCTTCTGGGAAATTAAGGGAAGAAAAGTAACTTTCGAGTGGAGGTGGTTTTTAAAGTTTGACACAAAACTTGGATAAATTCAACTATACAAGAATAAAAAATTTCTGCAGGAAAAAACAATCACCATTAACAAAATGAAAAGACACTCACAACTCACATGACAGAGGGATAATGTGCCTAATATATTAAGAGCTCCTATAGGCTGGGCTCAGTGGCTCACGCCTGCAATCCCAGCACTTTGAGAGGCCGAGGTGGGCGGATCGCTTGAGCCCAGGAGCTGGAGACCAGCCTGGGCAACATGGTGAAACCCCCCTGTCTCTACAAAACACACACACACACACACACACACACACACACACACACACACACACACACACATTAGCTGGGCACAGTGGCACGCCCTTGTAGTCGCAGCTACTCTGGAAGCTGAGGTGGGAGGATTGCTTGAGCCCAGCAGGCAGAGGTTGCAGTGAGCTGAGATCACACCACTGCACTACAGCCTGGCCAAAGAGCTACAAATCAATAAGAAAAAGACCAACAATTCATTAGAAAAATGAGCAAAGGGGCCAGGCGCGGTGGCTCATGCCTATAATCCTAGCACTTCGGGAGGCTGAGGAGGGCGGATTACTTGAGGCCAGGAGTTCCGAGACCAGCCTGGCCAACGTGGTGAACCCCATCTCTACTAAAAATACAAAAATTAGCCGGGCGTGGTGGCGCACACCTATTAATCCCATCTACTCGAGAGGCTGAGGCAGGACAATTGCTTGAACCCAGGAGGCAGAGGTTGCAGTGAACCGAGATCATGCCACTGTACTCCAGCCTTGGCAACAGAGCGAGACTCTGTCAAAAAAAAAAAAAAAAAAAAGGAAAAAGAAAAAGAAAAGAAAAATTAGCAAAGGGTAGGAAGAGACAATTCAAAGAAAAAGGAATACAAATAGCTTTTAAAGTTTTGGAAATATGTTCAACTTCACTCAAAAGAAATTAAAATTAAATAAGTACACCAAAAGACCATTTTTCACTTATCAGATTGGCAAAGATAAAAAACTGAGGCCTGAGAATCGCTTGAACCTAGGAGGGGGAGGTTGCAGTGAGCCAAGATTGCACCACTGCACTCCAGCCTGGGCGACAGAGTGAGACTCCATCTTAAAAATAAATAAATACGCAGTGGATCATGCCTGTAACCCCAGCACTTTGGGAGGCTGAGATGGGCGGATCACTAGGTCAGGAGATTGAGACCATCCTGTCTAACACGGTGAAACCCCATCTCTACTAAAAATACAAAAAAATAGCCGGGCGTGGTGGCGGGTGCCTGCAGTCCCAGCTACTCAGGAGGCTGAGGGCAGGAGAATGGTGTGAACCCTGGTGGCAGAGCTTGCAGTGAGCAGAGATGGCGCCACTGCACTCCAGCCTGGGCGAGAGTGCGAGACTCATCTCAAAAAAAAGATAAAAAATTGATAACACACTATATAGGGAAGCAGGCCTTCTCATCATTGCTGGTGGGAGAGACATTGGTACAAATTCCACAGAAGCTTTTTTTTTTTTTTTGAGATGGAATCTTGCTCTGTCACCCAGGCTGAAGTGCAGTGACACAATCTTGGCTCACTGCAACCTCCATCTCTCAGGTTTAAGAGATTCTGCCCACCTCAGCCCCCCTAGTAGCTGGCACTACAGGTGCATGCCACCATGCCCAACTAATTTTTGTATTTTTTGGTGCAGACAGGGTTTCACCATTTTGGCCAGGCTGTTCTCAAACTCCCGAACCCAGGTGACTCACCCGCTTTGGCCTCCCAAAATGCTGGGATTACAGGCATGAGCCACCGCACCCGGCCCCATAGAAGCATTTTGGCACCTTATCTATCAAAGTCGCAAATGTACTTACCCTTTGACTCAGCAGTTCTTCTAAGTAATTTTATCCTACAAATACATTGCCACACATATGAAATACTCTATGTAAAAAATTATTCATTGCACCTTTACTTGTAATAGCAAAAGATTGGAAACAACCTAAATATTCATCAATAGGAGTCACTAAGGGATTGAATAAATAAATTAAGGTGTAACAATACAATGGAGCCATAAATAAAGCAATTCAGAGAATCAGCGAAGCAGAAAAAAAAAAAGAAAAAAACTTCAAAAAAAAAAAAAAGAAAGTGAAAGACCTTTCTATATAAATATATGGAACAATCTCCAAGATAGATAGATAAGTAGAAAAGCAAGGGACAGAAACAGTGTGTACAATGAGTTGCCATTTGTGTATTTGTTTAGAAAGAAGGAAGGTAGAAGAACACACACACAATTGCTTGTATATACAGAGAATATTTCCAGAAGGATTCATAAGAGCCTAGAAATATTGAATTCAGGGAGAAAAACACTGTGGCTGAAGGAAAGGTGTGTCAGTGAGACTTTTCACTGTATATCCTTTGGTATCTTTAAAATTTTGTACCATGTGATATAATCTATTCAAAAACTTGTTTTTGGCTGGGCATGGTGGCTTACGCCTATAATCCCAACACTTTGGGAGGCCAAGGCAGGCAGATCATTTGAGCCCAGGAGCTGGAGACCAGCATGGGCAACATGGCGAAACCCCCCGGTCTCTACAAAAAATTTAACAATTAGCCGGTCATAGTGGTGTGCACCTATAGTCCCAGCTACTTGGGAGGCTGAGGTGGGAGGATTGCTTGAGCTTCAGAAGTCGAGGTTCCAGTGAACTGTGATAGTGCCACTGCACTCCAACCTGGGCAACAGAGTGAGGCCCTGTGTCTAAATAAATAAATAACAAAACAAAAACAGTATTCAACCCTGTTGACTACTCTCCCCTTGAAATAACTTCTTTCTTTCTGGTATTTTTTAGATACAATGTCTCACTCTGTCACCCAGGCTGGAGGGCAGTGGTGCAATTCACTGCAACGTCAGGCTCTGGGCTCAACCGATCCTCCCACCTCAGCCTCCCGAGTAGCTGGGACTACAGGTGCAGGCCATCATCCCCGGCTATTTTTTATTATTAATTTTTGGAGAGATGGAGTTTTGCCATGTTGCCTAGGCTGGTCTCTAACTCCTGAACTCAAGCAATCCTCCCTCCTCAGCCTCCCAAAGTGCTGGGATTACAGGCATGAGCCACTGCGCCCAGCCAAAATAATTTCGTTCTCACCTTCTAGGGCACCATTCTTCTGGTGTTCTTCTTGCCTCCTTGGCCACCCTCAGTCATCTTGGTTGGATCCTCTTCTTCCTTGACCTAACTTCTAAACATTCACTCTACCTTTTGCTCTTTTCTACTCTATCCATAGTTTGCCCTAGGTGATTCCATCCAGCCCCATACTTTAAATACCATCTATCTTCCATTGACTACCTAATTTATAATCCAGCCTTACCTCTTTTCCTTGAGCTCCTAGTCTCATATATTAAATACACATGACGAATCACTGACATATCTAGTAGGCATCTCAAACTACTTAATATATCTAAAACAGAACTTTTGATTTTTCTTCCTGGAACCTCTATCTTAATCTCAGTCTTCTCTAGCTCAGTAAAAGGCTCTTCTGAATATTCAAAGTTGCTTGAGTCAAGATCCTAGGAATCACCTTCAATGCTTCTTTGATACCTATATCAAATCATCAGCAAGTTCGTTCAGTTTTGCTTTAAAAATATAGCTTAAATCCATTCACTTTTTTTTTGGTGGGGGGGGATGGGAGTCTCGCTCTGTCGGCTAGGCTAGAGTGCAGTGGTGTGATCTCAGCTCACTGCAACCCGCCTCCTGGGTTCAAGTGATTCTCCTGCCTCAGCCTCCCAAGTAGCTGGGATTACAGGCATGCGCCACCATGCCCAGCTAATTTTTGCATTTTTGGTAGAGATGGGGTTTCACCATGTTGGCCAGGCTGGTCTCGAACTTCTGGCCTCAAGTGATCTGCCCTCCTCGGCCTCCCAAAATGTTGGGATTACAGGCGTGAGGCACTGCACCTGGTGATTCACTTGTTATGTCTACAGCTTTCTAGCCTGAAGCACCATTATCTTTCTAGTGTGGTACTCATCTTTTTGCTATTATTGATAATTTAGTATTTCTACCTCCCTAAATAGACACTGAACCTGTCAAAAGGAGAGCCCATGTCTCAGTTGTCTAGTTACAATACAGTGCTTAGTATGTTATGCCCTACATAATAATAAATATTTAATAAATATTTGCTGAATAAATAAATAAATACATGATTGGAGGAATAAATGAGTGAATGGTGACAAGAACACCATGACTCAGATAGCTAACAGCACCCATAACTGGTGTCTCTGACATTTCCTTGCAGTTCATTGCTAGAAAGGTAACATCTTTACTAAAGTTTATATAGTAGGCACCCATTAGGTTTTCTGTCCAGCATCCTGTTTTCTGGAAACTCCTTCTACCTACCACCATACTAAATTCACCTGGTAGCAGCAGTAGGACTCTGGCAGCCATTCTGTGAAATTTGTGCGTATCAAAAGACAACGTAAACTAAATCAAATGAAAGGCAATATTTGTAGACAAAAGACAAATACTATGAATGTAAAAGGAACTCCTATAAATTAATAACAAAAAGATAAACAATCCAGCAGAGAAAAATGGACAATGAATAACAGCAGGCAATTTATAAAAGATGAAATAGAAAATGTCAAAAATCAGATGCGCAACTTCACTAGTAATCATGAAAATACAAAATACTTTTGGCTAGGCATGGTAGTTCACACCTGTAATCTCAGCACTTTGGGAGGCCAAGGTGGGCAAATCGCTTCAGCGCAGGAGTTCGAAACCAGCCTGGGCAACATGGTGGAAAGCCTGTCTCTACAAAAAACTTAAAAATTAGCTGGATATGATGGTGTACCCCTGTAGTCCCAGCTACTTGGGAGGCTGAGGTGGGAGGATGGCCTGAGTCCAGGAGGCAGAGGTTGCAGGGAGCTGAGATCATGCCACTGCACTCCAGCCTGAAAGACAGAGGAAGACCCTATCTCAAAAATAAAATAAAAGTCGGATGTGGTGGCTCACGCCTGTAATCCCAGCACTTTGGGAGGCTGAGGCAGGCAGATCACTTGAGATCAGGAGTTCAAAACCAGCCAGGCCAACATGGTGAAACCCCGTCCGTACTGCAAATACAAAAATTAGCTGGGTGTGGTGGCGCATGCCTGTAGTCCCAGCTACTGGGGAGGCTGAGGCAGGAGAATCACTTGAACCCAGGAGGCAGAGGTGGAAGTGACCTGAGATCGTGCCACTGCACTCCAGCCTGGGTGACAGAGCGAGACTCCATCTCAAAAATAAAATAAAGGGCTGGCCACGGTGGCTCACGCCTGCATTCCCAACACTTTGGGAGGCCGAGGTAGGTGCATCACCTGAGATCAGGAGTTTGAGACCAGCCTGACCAACATGGCAAAACCCCATCTCTACTAAAAATACAAAAATTAGCCGGGTGTAGTGACAGGCGCCTGTAATCCCAGCTACTTGGGAGGCTGAGGCAGGGAGAATCGCTTGAACCCCGGGAGGCAGAGGTTGCAGTGAGCTGAGATCATGCCGTTCCACTGCCCCCTGGGCAACAGAGCGAGACTGTCTCAAAAACAAAAATCAAAAACGTTTATAACATTTTAAATTTATCATTTTAACCTCCCCCCTTTTTTTTTGAGATGCAGTCTCGCTCTGTCGCCAGGCTGGAGTGCAGTGGCGCCATCTCGGCTCACCGCAACCTCCGCCTCCCAGGTTAATGTGATTCCCCTGCCTCAGCCTCCCCCTGCCCCCATTTTTTTTTTTTTTTGAAACGGAGTTTCACTCTTGTTGCCCAGGCTGGAATGCAATGGCTCGATCTTGGCTCACTGCAACCTCTGCCTCCTGGGTTCAAGAGATTCTCCTGCCTCAGCCTCCCAAATAGCTGGGATTACAGGCATGCGCCACCATGCCTGGCTAATTTTTTGTATTTTTAGTAGAGATGGGGTTTCACCACACTGGTCAGGCTGGTCTCGAACTCCTGACCTCAAGTGATCCACCCCCCCCCGGCCTCCCAAAGTGCTGGGATTACAGGCGTGAGCCATCACGCCCGGCCAGTTTTAACCCTTTTTGATTGTACAATTCAGTGGCAACCATCACCATTACCCATCTCCAGAACATTTTTGTCACCAAAACTTAAACTCTATACCCATTAAACAATAATTCTTCTGGCCGGGTGTGGTGGCTCATGATTGTATTCCCAGCACTTCGAGAGGTTGAGGCAGAAGGATTGTTTGAAACCAGGAGTTTGAGATCAGCCTGGGAAACTTGGCAAAATCTCATCTCTACTAAAAACACACACACACACACAAAATTAATTGGGCATCGTAGTGCATGCTTATAGTCCCAGCTACCTGGGAGGCTGAGGTGGGAGGATCACCTGAACCTAGGAGGTCGAGGCTGCAGTGAGCTGTGATCACGTCACTGCAGTCCAGCCTGGGCAACAGAGTGAGACCTTGTCTCAGAAAAAAATAAAAAATAAAACTACTAATTCCCTTACCCCCAGCCCCTGGTAACTAGTATTCTGTCTTTTGTCTCTGTGAATCTGACAATTCTAGGTACCTCACATAAGTGGAATCATGTGTTTTTCCTTTTGCATCTGGCTTATTTCACTTAGTATAATGTTTTCAAGGTTCATCATATTGTAACATGTATCAAATTTTCATTCCTTTTTTATTTTTATTTATTTATATTTTAATTTTTATTTTTGAGATAGAGTCTTGCTCTGTCACGAAGCTGGAGTGCAATGGTGTGATCTTGGCTCACCACAACTGCTGTCTCTCAGGTTCAAGTAATTCTTCTGCCTCAGCCTCCCAAGTAGCTGGGACTACGGGTGCACATGCGCGTGTGCCACCACGCCTGGCTAATTTTTGTATTTTTAGTAGAGACGGGGTTTCACCATGTTGGCCAGGCTAGTCTCAAATTCCTGACCTCAGGTGATCCACCCACCTCAGCCTCCCAAAGTGCTAGGATTACAGGCATGATCCACCTCATATTTATTTATTTTTAAGATTGAGTCTCACTCTGTTGCCCAGGCTGGAGTGCAGTGGTGCAATCTTGGCTCACTGCAGCCTCCCCCTCCTAGGTTCAAGCGATTCGCAGGCCTCAGCCTCCAGAGTAGCTGGGATTACAGGCATGCGCCACCACACCAGGCTAATTTTTTTTTTTTTTTTTTTCTGAGAGGGAGTCTTTCTCTGTTGTCCAGGCTGGAGTACAATGGCACAATCTCAGCTCACTGCAACCTCCATCTCCCAGGTTCAAGCCATTCTCCTGCCTCAGCCTCCTAAGTAGCTGAGGCTACAGGCATGTGCCACCACGCCCAGCTAATTTTTGTATTTTTAGTAGATGTTGGCCAGGCTGGTCTCGAACTCCTGATCTCAAGTGATCCACATGCCTTGGCCTCCCAAAGTGCTAGGATTACAGGTGTGAGCCACCGTGCCTGGCCTAATTTTTGTATTTTTAGAAGAGATGGGGTTTCACCATGTTGGTCAGGCTGGTCTCAAACTCCTGACCTCAAGTGATCTGCCTGCCTCGGCCTTCCAAAGTGCTGGGATTACAGGTGTAAGCCATCATGCCTGGCCTTATTGATTCCCTTTTAAGGCTGAATAATATTCCCTTGTATGTATGTATATACTACATGTTGTTTATCCATTCATCTGTTGATGGACACTTGGGTTGCTTCCACCTTTTGGCTATTGTGAATAATATTGTTATGAAATTGGGGCCAGGTGTGGTGGTTCACGCCTATAATTCCAGCACTTTGAGAGGCCGAGGTGGATGGATCGCTTGAGGCCAGGAGTTCTAGACCAGCCCGGGCAATGTGGTGAAACCCCATCTCTACTAAAAATACAAAAATTAGCCATGTGTGGTTGTGGTGGTGACTGCCTGTAGTCCCACCTACTCGGGAAGCTGAGGCAAGAGGATCGCTGGAACCCGGGAAGCAGAGGTTGCAGTGAGCCGAGATCATGTCACTGCACTCCAGCCTGGTAACAGAGCGAGATTCTGTCTCAAAAAAAAAAAAAAAGAAAAAAAGAAATGGCTATGAAATTGTTATACAAATATCCGTTCAGGGCCCTGCTGTCAATTCTTTGGGATATAATATACCCCAAAGTGGAAGTACTGGATCATATGATAATTATATTAGGTTGGTGCAAAAATAATTGCAGTTTTTGCCATTCCTTTCAATGGCAAAAACTGCAATCGCTTTTGCACCAACCTTAGTATGTTTAATGTTTGAGGAATCACCAAGCTGTTTTCTAGAATGCTGCACCATCTTACATTCCCATTAGTAATGTATGAAGGTTCCAATTTCTCCATATCCTTACCAATACTTATTATTACCTATTTTTTTGATTAGCATCATTCTAGTGGATGTGAAGTGATATCTCATTGTGGTTTTGATTTGTATTTCCCTAACATTTACTGATGTTTAGCATCATTCATGTAAATTATTGGCCATCTGTATAGCTTCTTTGGAGAAATATCTATTCAAATCCTTCGTCCTTTTTTTTTTTTTTTTTTTTTTTTTTTTGAGACAGAGTCTCGCTCTGTCGCCCAGGCTGGAGTGCAGTGGCACAATCTTGGCTCACTGCAACCTCCGCCTCCCAGGTTCAAGCAATTCTCCTGTCTCAGCCTCCTGAGTAGCTGGGACTACAGGCGCACGCCACCACACCCAGCTAATTTTTTGTATTTTATTAGAGACAGGGTTTCACCATGTTGCCCAGGCTGTTCTCGAACACCTGAACTCAGGCAACCTGCCTGCCTCGGCCTCCCAAAGTGCTAGGATTACAGGCGTGAGCCACCACGCCTGGCCTGTCCATTTTTTTAGTTGGGTTTGTTTTTCAGTCAGTGAGTTCTAGGAGTTCATCATGTGTTCTGGATATCAATCTTTTATCATATATATGATATTCAAATATTTTCTCCCATTCTGTGTGTGGCCTTTTTACTTTGTTGACAGTGTTCTTTGATGCACACAAGTTTTAAATTTTGATATAGTTCAATTTATTTATTTTTTTCTTTTCCTTTTTTAAAAATTTGTTTATATACAGGGTCTCGTTCTGTTGCCCAGGCTGGAGTGGTCAGTGGTGCAATCATAGCTAACTGTAACCTCGAACTCCTGCATACAAGCGATCCTCCCTCCTCAGCCTCTCGAGTAGCTAGAACTGCAGGCACACTCAGAGATGGGATCTGGCTAACTTGTCCAAGTGGTCTCAAACTCCTGGCCTCAAGTGATACTTCTGCCTTGGCCTCCCAAAGCGCTGAGAATACAGGCATGAGCCCCATGCCCCAATCCTCAATTTATCTATTTTTTTCTTTTGTTGCCTATGCTTTTGGTGTCATATTCAAGAATCATTGCCAAATCCAATGTCATGAAGCTTTTCTCCTATGTTTTCTTCTGAGAATTTTCTAATTTTAACTATGATATTAGATCTTTGACCCATTTTGAGTTCATTTTGTATTCAATGTAAAGTAAGAGTCTTTTGCTTATGGATATCCAATTTTCCCAACACCATTTGTTAAAAAGACTGTTCTTTCCCCTATGAAATGATTTTTTTTTTGAGACAAGGGTCTCCCTCTGTTGCCCAGGCTAGAGTGCAGTGGCACGATTATGGCTCACTGCAGCCTCGACCTCCCAGGCTCAAGAGATCCTCCCATCTCAACCTCTTGAATAGCTGAGACCACAGATATGTGCCACCATGCCCAGTTAATTTTTGTATTATTTGTACAGATGAGGTCTCATCATGTTTGATCTTGAACTCCTAGGCTCAGCTTCCCAAAGTGCTGGGATTATAGGCATGAGCCACTGTGCCCGACCCCATTAAATGATCTTGATACCCTTGTTGAAAATCATTTAATCATATACTTGAGAGTTTATTTCTGGGCTCTCTATTCTATTCCATTGGTCACATCTGTCTTTATGCAGAATAGACTTTTAAAGATACCATTTTAAACTATTTGGGTTATCAAATCATTCAGTACTAGAAAAAATGTGGGGAGATGAGAATTCTCACACATTGCTGGGGGAAATAAAAATTGCTATCTCCTTCTGGAAAGTACTGTGGTAATATCTTTAAAAATGTAACACATAATTTTAATGCAGCAATTTCACTTTTGGGAATCTTTTCTATAGATATAAAAACACCAAGGGAGGGAGGGGAGGCAAAAAAAATTAAACATCAATACGTAAGACTATGCATACAAATATATTTATTGTGGCATCCTTTTTTTTTTCTTTTCTGAGACAGGGTCTCACTCTGTTGCTTAAGCTGGAGGGCAGTGGCATTGTAGCCCACTTTTTTTTTAGAGACAGGGTCTTGCTCTGTTGCCCAGGCTGGTCTCGATCTTCTGGCCTCAAGCAATTCCTCCTGCCTCAGACTCCCAAAGTGCTAAGATTACAGGTGTGAGCCACTGTGCCCAGCTTCTTGTGGCATCCTTTGTAGTGGGAAGAGGCTGAACCGGAAAACAGTCGAGTACCTACTCTCTCTCCATCTTTCTTTCCCTGGAGTCACATGCATTTTAATCTCTGTTTCTTTTTGTATTTCTTCCTGAACTTGTAGGTGGACCAACAATATCAGTAGGCTGATTCTCTTTGATCTTTACATATTTCAGTGCTCACTACTGTCTCAAGCTAGAGTTTCTATTTTGTTCACTTATAAATCTACTATTAATATATTTATATTTATTTTTATTTTTAGAGAAGGAGTTTCACTCTTGTTGCCCAGGCTGGAGTGCAATGGCGTGATCTCGGCTCACTGCAACCTCTGCCTCCCAGGTTCAAGTGATTCTCCTGCCTCAGCCTCACAAGTAGCTGGGGTTACAGGCACCTGCCACCACACCCGGCTAATTTTTTGTATTTTTAGTAGAGATGGGGTTTCACCATGTTGGCCAAGCTGGTCTTGAACTCCTGACCTCAGATGATCCACCTGCCTTGGCTTCCCCAAGTGCTGGGATTACAGGCATGAGCCACTGCGCTCAGCCAATATATTCCTTTTTAATTTCAGTTTTTATAATTCCAGTTCTCTGCCAAATCTTTCAAGTTTGGCTTTGATCTCCTTAAACATAGTACACAGAGTTGTTTATAGTCCGTATCTAGTCATTGCAGAATATGGAATCCCTGTGGGTCTGTTTCTATTATCTGTTATTTGTCCTCCTTATTTCTGGTATTTTGTCTCCTTGTGTGCCTGGTTGTCTTTTTGTTTAAGCTATTTTGATTCTTGTTCCTAGAAACCTGGTTATTCTTGTACTGAACATTGTATTTGAAAGAAAATTATAGGCTGGGTGCGGTGGCTTGTGCCTGTAATCTCAGCACTTTGGGAAGCCAAGGCGGGCGGATCACTTGAGGCCAGGAGTTTGAGACCAGCCTGGCCAACACAGTGAAACCTTGACTCTACTAAAAATACAAAAACTAGCCGGGCGTGGTGCACACACCCGTAATCCCAGCTACTCAGGAGGCTGAGAGGCAGAAGAATCATTTGAACCCAGGAGGCGAAGGTTGTAGTGAGCTGAGATCGTGCCACTGTTCTCCAGCCTGAATGACTGTGTCTCAAAAACAAACAAAAAAGAAGGAAGGAAGGAAGGAAGGAAGGAAGGAAGGAAGGAGAAATAGGAAGGAAGGGAAAGAAAGAAAATTACAGAAACAATTGAGGCCTGGGATGATGTTATTTTTTCTCCAAAGTGGATTTGGTTTTACTCTTGCCACTAGCAATTAGGGGCAACTTAATGTAAGTTCAGGCCTTGAGATTTTTCTGGGCCACTTAGATGATTTGAATTCAGTCTGCAGTCTACATGAGAGTTACTTTACTTGTACTCCCTTATACCTACAATGCAGGGTTTTAAAGTCCTAGGCCAAATCCGAGGGTGATATAGAAGGGCTGCCACCCTTTATTAGTCCTGGACTCCAACTTTTGTCCCCATGGGCTCTTAAGGCTGCCAAACATACATCTTAGCTTTCTAATTACTTGTTCTGCATCAGCAAATGCCTCAGACAAAGCATCGAGTGCTAGCTCCTCACTTCAAATTCCTTACCAATCCAAAATCTTGGCCCAGTTAATTCCTCACTATTTCGTTAGTTATGATATACTTTTAGAGGATGCATTTTATTTTTCATCCAGCTGATTAGCTGTATTCAGTAGGAGGGCTGGCTGAAATTACATTGTATGCCATTAACAACAATGAAAGTCTATACAGTTTACTTTATTCCTGAATGATAAAAATCTCGTTAGCTCTAGTCAAGGGCTCATTCCTGATTTTGTGGCCAGGACTACAGAGCCATTCAATATATAGGGTATCCACTATGTATTGACTTTGGGAAGGGCAGGTTGCTAAGAAGGGGATGCAAGTATAGGAGAAATGACTGGCATCTCTTATATACCAAATTACATTCTCTTCTCTAAATATACCCTCCTATATCATATTCCAGTGCTTTTTCATATGCTATCCCTTCAGCCAGAATTTCTTCCCATCCTGTTCACCGGGTAAACGCCTGTTCCTTTTTGAAGACTTAGCTCAAGTATTGCAACTTCATCTCAAAAACAAACAGGCTGGGTACAGTGGCTCACACCTGTAATCCCAGCACTTTGGGAGGCTGAAGCAGGCGGAACACTTGAAGTCAGGAGTTCGAGACCAGCCTGAGCAACGTGGTGAAACCCCGTCTCTATTAAAAATGCAAAAATTAGCTGGGCATGGTGGCAAGTGCCTATAATCCCAGCTACTGGGGAGGCTGAGGCAGGAGAATCGCTTGAACCCAGGAGGTGGAGGTTGCAGTAAGCCAAGAATGTGCCACTGCACTCCAGTCTGGGTAACAGAGCGAGACATCATTGCAAAACAACAACAACAACAACAACAACAACAACAACAACAACAAAAAACCAGACAACTCTTCATCTGTATGCCCTTTGAAACTTGCATAAAGCTTTTCATAGCGGTTATTTTATCCTTCAGGATCGGAACTATTTTTTCACCTATGTGACCTGAGATTTTGCCAGGCACACTCAACAAATACTTGGTGAATTAATAAATGAATGAATGAGAGGGAAGAACACTAGATTAGTTTTATGAGACAATTTCCAAGTTTCTTCAGATCTTATGTTCCATGATTCTATGAAATTCAAGCTCAAAAAATAACTTAATTCACTGGTTTGTCATTCACTGGACCTTAATACTTACAAAAAATAGTTCCTCTTCCTTCTAAGAATAAATAAACAGGTGTGTAGGCTTGATGCGGTGGCTCACTCCTGTAATTCCAGCACTTTGGGAGGCTGAGGCAGGTGGATGACCTGAGGTCAGGAGTTCGAGACCAGCCTGGCCAACATGGTGAAACCTCGTCCCTACTAAAAATACAAAAATTAGTCAGGCATGGTGGCGGCTGCCTGTAATCCCAGCTACTGGGGAGGCTGAGGCAGGAGAATTGCTTGAACCCAGGAGTCAGAGGTTGCGGTGAGCCGAGATTGCACCATTGCACTCCTGCCTGGGCGACAGAGCAAGACTCCATCTCAACAATAAATAAATAATTAAATTAAATTAAATTAACAGGTACGTTTTGAGAAAGAACTGACAATGATATAATTTAGAGGCAATTTCCTAATGTCTTTTACTCTACTAGACTTGGCACTCTCAGATTCTGAACGAGTCATCAAACACATTAGTTAGCTTTATGGCTACTTCACACTTTTCCCATCTCCCTCTCCATCCTTACAAATTCCTATTTTTTTTCTTCTCACATTTTCATCCCTTTTAATTTTCTTTTTTCTCTCTCTCTCTCTTTTTCTTTCTTTCTTTATTTTATTTATTTATTTTTTTTAGACAGGGTCCTGCTCTGTTACCCAGGCTGGAGTGCAGTGGTGCGATCTCGGCTCACTGCAACTTCCGTCACCGGGCTCAAGCGATTCTCCTGCCTCAGCTTTTTGAGTAGCTGGGACTACAGGTGTGTGCCACCACTCCCGGCTAAGTTTTGTATATTTAGTAGAGACGGGATTTCACCATGTTGGCCCTGCTGGTCTTGAACTCCTGACCTCAGGTGATCTGCCCGCCTCGGCATCACAAAGTGCTGGGATTACAGGCATGAGCCACCGGGCCCGGCCTTCCCTTCTAACTTTCTATATTTTCTTCCATACAAATAATATTTATTATTATTATTATTATTTTTAGACGAACTCACCCTCTTGTCCCCCAGGCTGGAGTGCGATGGTGTGATCTCAGCTCACTGCAATCTCTGCCTCTTGGGCTCAAGCGATTCTCCTGCCTCAGCCTCCCAAGTAGCTGGGATTACAGGCACCTGCCTCCACGCCCAGCTAGTTTTTGTATTTTTAGTAGAGATGGGGTTTCACTGTGTTGGCCAGGTTAGTCTTGAATTCCTGACCTTGTGATCCACCTGCTTTGGCCTCCCAAAGTGCTATGATTACAAGTGTGAGCCACCGCACCCCCCACCATAAAAACTTCTTAATAAATTGGCCAGGATGATCTTGTTCTTCTCTTCTAGCCATCTGTTAACATTCTACTACCAGTGTTTCCTGAGCCAACCATATTCCTTGAAATAATGCTAGGTGTTCAGGGTGAAGTAAATTTAGTAAATACTGCATATTATATCCCTCTCTTGGATATAGTCATAATTCATATTAGTATAATAAAGGCCCTCAGAAGGTCTACAGTGAAAGAAATCTGCTTAATTTTGTTTAGCTTATTGTACTTAGTAAATACCTTTTTTTTTTTTTCTGAGATGGAGTCTGGCTGTGTTGCTCAGGCTGTAGTGCAGTGGTGCGATCTTGGCTCACTGCAACCTCTGCCTCCCAGGATCAAGTGATTCTCCTGCCTCAGCCTCCTGAGTAGCTGGGATTACAGGTGCGCACCACTATGCCCGGCTAATTTTTGTATTTTTAGTAGAGGCAGGGTTTTACCATGTTGGTCAGGCTGGTCTTGAACTCCTGACCTCGTGATCTGCCCATCTCGGCCTCCCAAAGTGCTGGGATTACAGGCGTGAGCCACCATGCCTGGTCTATACTTAGTAAATACTTTCTAAGTGGCAAGTTGCAATTCAAATGTCACTTTTTACATGAATCTTTTTTTTTTTTTTTTGAGACGGAGTCTTGCTGTCGCCCAGGCTGGAGTGCCGTGGCGCCATCTCGGCTCACTGCAACTCCGGCCTCCCAGGTTCACGCGATTCTCTTGCTTCAGCCTCCTGAGTAGCTAGGATTATAGACACCCACCACCATGCTTGGCTAGTTTTTTTGTATTTTTAGTAGAGACAGAGTTTCACCATGTTGGCCAGGCTGACCTCAAGTGACTTGCCTACCTCGGCCTCCCAAAGTGCTAGGATTATAGGCATGAGCCACCGTGCCCGGAATGAATCCTTTCATGACTCCCAGAGGCAGAATTCAACGTATCTACCACTGAATTCACATAGCTCAGAGTTACATTATAAAGTGCTATAAAAATAATGGTTTCTGATCAGGCATGATGGCTCACACCTGAAATCCCAGCACTCTGGGAGGAGTTTGAGACCAGCTTGGGCAACCTTGTCTCTACAAAAGAAAAAAAATTTAATTAAAAAATTAGCTGAGCGTAGTGGCGTGCACCTGTAGTCCCACCTACTGGGGAGGCTGAGGTGGGAGGACTGCTTGAGCCCGGGAGGTTGAGGCTGCAGTGAGCCATGATCACGCCACTGTACTCTAGCCTGTGTAACAGAATGAGAGTCTGTCTCAAAGAAAAAAAAAATAGTTTTCGTTAATATTGTGGTGTAATATTTTTATAGCAAACAACAGAAAAATCATCTTGAAATATCTCTTTTTTTTTTTTTTTGAGACGGAGTTTCTCTGTCGCCCAGGTTGGAGTGCAGTGGCGCGATCTCGGCTCTCTGCAGGCTCCGCCCCCCGGGGTTCACGCCATTCTCCTGCCTCAGCCTCTGGAGTAGCTGGGACTACAGGCGCCCACCACCTCGCCCGGCTGATTTTTTGTATTTTTAGTAGAGACGGGGTTTCACCGTGTTAGCCAGGATGGTCTCGATCTCCTGACCTCGTGATCCACCCGCCTCGGCCTCCCAAAGTGCTGGGATTACAGGCGTGAGCCACTGCGCCCGGCCTCGAAATATCTTAAACAATTAAGGGAATTTAGTCATCAGCTGAAAATTCAGGCAAAGCTTTGTCCTCAGTGTTAAGGCTCAATGATGTTACCAAAGACCTGGTTTCTTTCCATTTCTCCTTCTGAAATATTTGATATCCCTAAATTTGTGTGTGTGTGTGTGTGTGTGTGTGTGTGTGTGTGTGTGTGTGTGTGTGTGTGTTGGAGACAGAGTCTCCCGCTGTCGCCCAGGCTGGAGTGCAATGGCGCAATCTCAGCTCACTGCAACATCCGCCTTCGGCGTTCAAGCAATTCTTCTGCCTCAGCCTCCTGAGTAGCTGGGATTACAGGCACCCACCCCGCACCCAGCTAATTTCTGTATTTTTAGTAGAGACAAGTTTTCACCATGTTGGCCAGGCTGGTTTCGAACTCTTGACTTCAGGTGATCCACCTGTCTCGGCCTCCCAAAGTGCTGGGATTACAGGCGTGAGCCACCACGCCCGGCGCCTAAATTTGTTCTTTTGTGACGTCAGTATGGTTACAGCAGCTTCTAGAAGGGCTATCTGTGTTTTCTTCACCTCAAATAGGAAGATAATATCTCTCAAGGAAACTCCTTCAGAATAACAAGAAAGTATGCTTTCCAGAAGCCCCAGCAAAGGTCTTTTTATATCTCACTGGCCTGAATTAAGGTCACCTGTTCATCACTGATCTAGTCAATGTCTATGGGGATAAGCGTGTGCCGGGCTTAAGCCAAGTTACCCCTGGATGTAAGAGTGGAGTCAGCTTCCTTATGTGGTTACACATAAGAGAATACGCATCCTGTTACTAAGAGGAAAGAGAAAGACTGTTGGGCAGTCAAAACCAACAAAAATTCACTGCATGATGCTGACCACATTCAACTACTTCTGTATTAATACTTTGGTTAGTACACTAATGAAAATTTCTGTATAAATTAATATTCACACAAAAACTTGTACATGAACATTCATGGCATCAATATTTTTTGTTTGTGTGTCCATTTTTTAACTCAAAGACTTTGTTTTATTACAGTGCATAGACTGGGATCGATGGGAAGATGTAGATGTCGTGGGCAACCATGGTTAGCATCGTTAGCCCATCCCCATCGTCATGAATGTATCAAAGATGCCTCTACTCTGCATCATGGTTTTCCCAATGCCGCCCATCACCTCCTGATCCTGCATCCCAATCCTGAGACAGAGGGTGCTGAGGAGCACCGTGGCCACCATGGCCACTGTTCAACCCATTATCAAAGCCTATCTCCATGCAGTCAAAGCAGCCTGGCTGAGACTGTCCCTAGGGACCCACAACCACTGGCATCTCGCTCTCAGCCTTGGTCGCTCAGCTCTCCATAGCATTGAATTCATAATAGCCAAAAAGTGGAAACAATTCTAGGGTCCATCAGCTGATGGATAAACAAAATGTGACATAGCCACAAAATGGAATATTATTCAGCAATAAAAACGAGTGAAATACTGATACCTGCTATAACATGCATGGAACTGAAAACATTATGCTAAGTGAAAGAAGCCAGTCACACCAGGCCACAAATTGTGTGACTTATTTTATATAAAATATGTACAAAGTAGATTAGTGATCACCAGAGGCTAAAGGAATAGGGTTTAGGGCATGACTGCTAATGAGTAGAGGGTTTTCTTTGGGGGTGAAAGAATGTGCTGGAATTAGGTAGTGGTGTGAATATACTCAAATCACTGGATTGTGCACTTTATTTTATTTATTTATTTTTGAGACAGAGTCCCAGTGAGTTGCCCAGGCTGGAGTACAGTGGCGTGCTATTGGCTCACTGCAACCTCTGCCTCCTGGGTTCAAGTGATTCTCGTGCCTCAGCCTCCCAAGTAGCTGGGATTACAGGCATGTGCCACCATGTCCGGCGAATTTTTGCATTTTTAGTAGAGACAGGATTTTCCATGTTGGTCAAGCTGGTCTCAAACTCGTGGCCTCAAGTGATCTGCCTGCCTCAACCTCCCAAAGTGGTGGGATTACAGGCGTGAGCCACCGCGACTGGCCCTCTTTTTTTTTCTTTTTTTTTTTGAGACGGAGTTTCGCTCTTGTTGCCCAGGTTGGGGTGCAATGGTGCAATCTTGGCTTACCGCAACCTCTGCCTCCCAGGTTCAAGCCATTCTCCTGCCTCAGCCTCCCAAGTAGCTGGGATTACAGGCATGCGCCACCATGCCTGGATAATTGTTTTTGTATTTGTAGTAGAGACGGGGTTTCTCCATGTTGGTCAGGCTGGTCTCAAAGTCTCAACCTCAGGTGATATGCCAGCCCTGGGCTCCCAGAGCGCTGGGATTACAGGTGTGAGCCACCGCACCTGGCCCAGGCTCTCTTTCTTAAATTAGCAATGCACATGAATGCAGACCAGCATCTTTGCAGCTAAGAACTAAAAGTACATTTGAAGATTATTCTTTAGTTGGTTTATTTTGTGATTTGTCACTTGCATAGATGCCATTTGGTCACATATCATTACAGAATTGAACTGATTAGTCCATGTTTTCCTCATTTCCATAGTATTTATTTTACTGATTTACCTGCAAAAAATTGCTTTCATTTCCTTTTCAACTTTGAAAGCAAAGAGTTCAGCTACAGCTTTGAATTAGTTTTGTCTGATTACTGCTTATAATATTTACATTGTTTTAAAAACACTATTACCTTGTTTTTTGTTTTTGTTTTTTTGAGACAGAGTCTCACTCTGTTGCCTAGGCTGGAGTGCAATGGCATTGCCTGGGCTCACTGCAACCTCCGCCTCCCGGGTTCAAGCGATTCTCCTGCCTCAGCCTCCCAAGTAGCTGGGATTACAGGCGCCTGCCACCACACCTGGCTAATTTTTGTATTTTTAGTAGAGATGGGGTTTCACCATCTTGGCCAGGCTGGTCTCGAACTCCTGACCTCGTGATCTGCCCGCCTCAGCCTCCCAAAGTGCTGGGATTACAGGCGTGAGCCACTGCGCCCAGCCCTTTTTCCTCTTTTTCATGTCAGACAGGTAATGTGCCAACATCATAACAATGTTTGTGGATGGCACATTTCACACATCCATGTGAATGCCCAATCATCATGCTTATGAACTACAAAATGATCTGATTATTTCTTTATAATTAAAGGTAAATATTTTTGGCAAAAATACTATATAAGTGGCCACTTGTTCAATAAAGAATGTGCTCAGGCCAGGCTCAGTGATTCACACCTGTAACCCTAGCACTTTGGGATGCTTAAGCTCTGGAGTTCAAGACCAGCCTGGGGAACATAGTGAAATCTCATCTCTACAAAAAGTACAAAAATTTGGCTGGTAGGGTAATCCTAGCACTTTGGGAGGCCGAGGCGGGCAGATCATTTGAGGCCAGAAGTTCGAGACCAGCCTGGCCAACATGACAAAACCCCGTCTCTACTAAAAATACAAAAATTATCTGGGTGTGGTGGCACATGACTGTAGACCCAGCTACTTGGGAGGCTGAGGCACGAGAATCCCTTGAACCTGGGGGGCGGAGGTTGCAGTGAGCTGAGATCATGCCATTGCACTCCAGCCTGGGCGACAGAGCAAGACTCTGTCTCAAAAAAAGAAAGAAAAAATTACAAAAATTAACCGGGTGTGGTGGCTCACACCAGTAGTCCCAGCTACTAGGGGGCAGGCTGAGGCAGGGGATCACCTGAACTTGGGAGATCAAGACTACAGTGAGCCGAGATTGTGCCACTGCACTCCATCCTGGGTGACAATGTAAGACCCTGTCTCAAAAAAAAAAAAAAAAAAAGAGTGTGCTCAAAGGGTAATCAGCCACTTGCTCTGTCCCTGATATCCCTCCCAATTCTTCACTGCTAGCCGTTTGTTCATCTACCAAACATTTGCCAAAGAGGCCTTTAAAAATTTATTACAGGCCGGGTGTGGTGGCTCATGCCTGTAATCCTAGCACTTTAGGAGGCCGAGGCGGGTAGATTGCCTGAGGTCAGGAGTTCAAGACTAGTCTGGCCAACATGGTGAAACCCCGTCTCTATTAAAAATACAAAAAAAGGGCCAGGTGCGGTGGCTCACACCTGTAATCCCAGCACTTTGGGAGGCCGAGACGGGCGGATCACGAGGTCAGCAGTTCGAGACCAGCCTGACCAACATGGTGAAACCCCGTCTCTACTAAAAATACAAAAAAATTAGCTGGGCGTGGTGGTGGGCGCCTGTAATCCCAGCTACTTGGGAGGCTGAGGCAGGAGAATCTCTTGAAACCGGAAGGTGGAGGTTGCAGTGAGCCGAGATTGCACCACTAGCCTAGGCAACGAGGCAACGAGAGCAAAACTCCGTTTCAAAAAAAAAAAAATACAAAAACAATTAGCCGGGCATGGTGGCGTGCACCTGTAATCCCAGCTACTCAGGAGGCTGAGGCAGGGGAATTGCTTGAACCAGGGAGGTGGAGGTTGCAGTGAGCCGAGATCGCGCCAGTGTACTCCAGCCTGGGTGACAGAACGAGCTCAAAAAAACAAAAAAAAGTATTACAGCTTGGATAACATAATGAGACCCTGTCTGTACAAAAACTACAAAAATTAGCTGGGTGTGGTGGTGTGTGCCTGTAGTCCCAGCTACTCAGAAATCGGAGGTGAACAGATTGCTTGAGCCCAGGAAGTTGAGGCTGCAGTGAGCTATGATCACACCGCTGCACTTCAACCTGGGTGACAGAGCAAGACCCTGTCTCAGAAAAAAAAAAAAAAAAAGTGTATTGTCTATTTTCACTTTTCTTTAGCCCACCCCCAAGCTTCAAAACTTTTTTTCTGTGTACAAAAATACAAATATTGGTTTGAAGACTATACTTTCAGGGATCATTTCTTCTTTGTTTTCGAGACTGAGTCTTGCTCTATCGCCCAGGCTGGAGTGCAGTGGCACAACCTTGGCTCACTGCAACCACCTCCGCCTCCCAGGTTCAAGTGATTCTCATGCCTCAGCCTCCTGAGTAGCTGAGACTACAGGTGCCCACCACCATGCCCAGCTCATTTTTGTATTTTTAGTAGAGATGGGGTTTTACCATGTTGGCCAGGCTGGTCTTGAACTCCTGACCTCAAGTGATCTGCCCACCTCAGCCTCCCAAACTGCGGGGATTACAGATGTGAGCCACCACACCTGGCCTCAGGGATCATTTCTATAGTTCGCTACAAATATTGCGTTGGAGCAGGTGAGTTTCTTGAACACAATACACTGAAAATTCCCATGCAGACCTTGAGAAATTATATTAAAGTCACATGGGTTGTCACTAATGTTTCTGGGAGATAACGGCAGCAACTAGTGAAAAAGAAGCCTTTCAAAGGATTAAAGAAATGGTTTAAATTAGTACTTTTGGAACACTGGAAGTTTCTCACTGTTGCTTTTTTTTTTTTTTTTTTTGAGACAGAGTCTTGCTCTGTCGCCCAGGCTGGAGTGCAGTGGCTCACTGCGATCTTGGCTCACTGCAAGCTCCGCCTCCCAGTTTCATGCCATTCTCCTGCCTCAGCCTCCCGAGTAGCTGGGACTACAGGTGCCTGCCACCACGCCCGGATAATTTTTTGTATTTTTAGTAGAGACAGGGTTTCACCGTGTTGGCCAGGATGGTCTCGATCTCCTGACCTCTTATCCGCCCGCCTTGGCCTCCCAAAGTGCTGGGATTACAGGCGTGAGCCACTGCGCCCGGCCATTTCTCACTATTGCTAATTTAGGAAAAAAGGAAATCCACTTTGTGATTTAGTCTTTGGTAAACTTGTATTATTCTTTTTATTTAGTTTCTCCTTTAGTTTTAGGTTACTGGTCCTTCTCTAGAGACAGTGGATATATTCACATTAAAGTTGAAGCAACTAGATAGCAACCAGCACCAGGACCATCACGCGCAGGCCAGGACCTGTGCCATGGCGTTGCTCTCAGATGCTGCTGATATTACTGATGTTGTCAGAGGTACCCTGGAGGGTGGAGCGCCCTGCCTTTGCCCGGGGAGAACCTTCTGGGGTTCCTGCCTTGGATGAGCACTCTGATCCATATGTCTCCAGGTTCCAGGAGTTGCAGAAATGCCACCAGGATCTGCAGAACACATTGCAAGACAAGGAGAGCTGGGAGGACTCAGACCCTGACCTCATCCAAAAGTGAAAAACCAATCCTGCCAAAGTGAATGTATTTTCTCTCCCCAAAGGCAGACTTGAGACCCCCAGCTTCAGGGTGGCTTCTGCCTGACTTCCAGAGCTCCAGCCAGTGCCTTTTGTCTGAAACCTCCATGTCCAGGACCCTTGGGCGGAGAAGAATCTGCTGGACACTGCTTGGGGCTGGACCCTGAGAGCGCTCACATTTGACACCCCAGAAAGCAAATAAAACAGTTGAAATATGTAAAAAAAAAAAAAAAAAAGAGCTGAAGCAACTACTAGATGGCAATTTTTTCTTGCATCCTTCCAGCTTTGTACACTTGGTCACACTTCATCTTCTCTTTTTGTTCCCCCTGAAAGAGCTGCTAACACTATTGGCTTTCTCTCTGTTTTTCTTTCCAGTCTCTACTTTTTTGGGAATATGGTTAAACAGATGCATCCTCTTCCCTTATTCTGATGAAATGTATTGCTGATGGCCTATCTGGCCACACTGCCCTCTTAATCTTTCTCAAAGGTGGCTCCTTGGTAATCACAACATTTTGCCATCTCTACCTTGGAGAGCAACTGTTAGAACCGGTTGAAGGAGTCCAGAGGAATGCTCTGAATTTGTTAGCAATTGCTTTGATTCCTTATTAAACATGATGTATGTTCAAGGTCCCTGATTTTCATAAAAATTATAGAACTGTGTAGATAAAAAGTTGTGTGTTTCTTTTGCACCACTTAACCAGTAGTGTGATCAATAAATGTTCTTTAGGCCGGGCGTGGTAGCTCACGCCTGTAATTCTAGCACTTTGGGAGACTGAGTCGGGCGGATTAGTTGAGGTCAGCAGTTCGAGACCAGCCTGGCCAACACGGTGAAATGCCATCCTTACAAAAAATACAAAAATTAGATGGGTGTGATGGTGGGTACTGGGGAGGCTGAAGCAGGAGAATCACTTGAACCCAGGAGTCAGAGGTTGCAGTGAGCCAAGATCGTGCTACTGCACTCCAGTCTAGGCAACAGAGCAAGACTCTGTCTCCAAAAAACGACAATAGGCCTGGCGTGGTGGCTCACTCCTGTAATTCCAGCCCTTTGGGAGGCCAAGCCTGGCGGATCACCTGAGGTCGGGAGTTTGAGACCAGCCTGACCAACATGGAGAAACCCCGTCTCTACTACAAATACGAAAACAATTATCCAGGCATGGTGGCACATGCCTGTAATCCCAGCTACTTGGGAGGCTGAGGCAGGAGAATGGCTTGAACCTGGGAGGCAGAGGTTGCGGTAAGCCAAGATTGCGCCATTGCACCCCAACCTGGGCAACAAGAGCGAAACTCCGTCTCAAAAAAAAAAAAAGAAAAAAGAAAAAAGAGGGCCAGTCGCAGTGGCTCATGCCTGTAATCCCACCACTTTGGGAGGTTGAGGCAGGCAGATCACTTGAGGCCACGAGTTTGAGACCAGCTTGACCAACGTGGAAAATCCTGTCTCTACTAAAAATGCAAAAATTTGCCGGACATGGTGGCACATGCCTGTAATCCCAGCTACTTGGGAGGCTGAGGCACGAGAATCACTTGAACCCAGGAGGCAGAGGTTGCAGTGAGCCAATAGCACGCCACTGTACTCCAGCCTGGGCAACTCACTGGGACTCTGTCTCAAAAATAAATAAATAAAATAAAGTGCACAATCCAGTGATTTGAGTATATTCACACCACTACCTAATTCCAGCACATTCTTTCACCCCCAAAGAAAACCCTCTACTCATTAGCAGTCATGCCCTAAACCCTATTCCTTTAGCCTCTGGTGATCACTAATCTACTTTGTACATATTTTATATAAAATAAGTCACACAATTTGTGGCCTGGTGTGACTGGCTTCTTTCACTTAGCATAATGTTTTCAGTTCCATGCATGTTATAGCAGGTATCAGTATTTCACTCGTTTTTATTGCTGAATAATATTCCATTTTGTGGCTATGTCACATTTTGTTTATCCATCAGCTGATGGACCCTAGAATTGTTTCCACTTTTTGGCTATTATGAATTCAATGCTATGGAGAGCTGAGCGACCAAGGCTGAGAGCGAGATGCCAGTGGTTGTGGGTCCCTAGGGACAGTCTCAGCCAGGCTGCTTTGACTGCATGGAGATAGGCTTTGATAATGGGTTGAACAGTGGCCATGGTGGCCACGGTGCTCCTCAGCACCCTCTGTCTCAGGATTGGGATGCAGGATCAGGAGGTGATGGGCGGCATTGGGAAAACCATGATGCAGAGTAGAGGCATCTTTGATACATTCATGACGATGGGGATGGGCTAACGATGCTAACCATGGTTGCCCACGACATCTACATCTTCCCATCGATCCCAGTCTATGTACTGTAATAAAACAAAGTCTTTGAGTTAAAAAATGGACACACAAACAAAAAATACTGATGCCATGAATGTTCATGTACAAGTTTTTGTGTGAACATTAATTTATACAGAAATTTTCATTAGTGTACTAATCAAGGTATTAATACAGAAGTAGTTGAATGTGGTCAGCATCATGCAGTGGATTTTTGTTGGTTTTGACTGCCCAACAGTCTTTCTCTTTCCTCTTAGTAACAGGATGCGTATTCTCTTACGTGTAACCACATAAGGAAGCTGACTCCACTCTTACATCCAGGGGTAACTTGGCTTAAGCCCGGCACACGCTTATCCCCATAGACATTGACTAGATCAGTGATGAACAGGTGACCTTAATTCAGGCCAGTGAGATATAAAAAGACCTTTGCTGGGGCTTCTGGAAAGCATACTTTCTTGTTATTCTGAAGGAGTTTCCTTGAGAGATATTATCTTCCTATTTGAGGTGAAGAAAACACAGATGGCCCTTCTAGAAGCTGCTGTAATCATACTGACGTCACAAAAGAACAAATCTAGGTGCTGGGCACAGTGGCTCACGCCTGTAATCCCAGCACTTTGGGAGGCCAAGGCGGGTGGATCACGAGGTCAGGAGTCCAAGACCAGCCTGGCCAAGATGGTGAAACCCCGTCTCTACTAAAAATACAAAAATTAGCTGGCCGCAGTGGTGGGCACATGTAATCCCAGCTACTCAGGAGGCTAAGGCAGGAGAATCGCTTGAACACCAAAGGCAGAGGTTGCAGTGAGCTAAGATTGCGCCATTGCACTCCAGCCTGGGCGACAGAGCGAGACTCTGTCTCCAAAACACACACACACACACACACACACACACACACACACACACAGGAATATCAAATATTTCAGAAGGAGAAATGGAAAGAAACCAGGTCTTTGGTAACATCATCGAGCCTTAACACTGAGGACAAAGCTTTGCCTGAATTTTCAGCTGATGACTAAATTCTCTTAATTGTTTAAGATAGTTGGAGATGATTTTTCTGTTGCTTGCAATCAAAATATTACACCACATTATTAAAGAAACTTATTTTTTTTTCTTTGAGACAGAATGTCACTCTGTCACACAGGCTAGAGTATAGTAGCATGATCTTGGCTCACTGCAGCCTCAACCTCCCGGGCTCAAGCAATCCTCCCACCTCAGCCTCCCCAGTAGGTGGGGAGTAGGCACCCCAGTAGGCACCCCAGCAGGTGCACGCCACTAAGCTCAGCTAATTTTTTAATTAAATTTTTTTTTCTTTTGTAGAGACAAGATTGCCCAAGCTGGTCTCAAACTCCTGGGCTCAGGAGATTCTCCCACCTTGGCCTCCCAGAGTGCTGGGATTTCAGGTGTGAGCCATCATGCCTGATCAGAAACCATTATTTTTATAGCACTTTGTAATGTAACTCTGAGCTATGTGAATTCAGTGGTAGATACGTTGAATTCTGCCTCTGGGAGTCATGAAAGGATTCATTCCGGGCACGGTGGCTCATGCCTATAATCCTAGCACTTTGGGAGGCCGAGGTAGGCAAGTCACTTGAGGTCAGCCTGGCCAACATGGTGAAACTCTGTCTCTACTAAAAAAAAAAAAAAAAAAAAAAAAAAAAAAACTAGCTGAGCACGGTGGTGGGTGCCTATAATCCCAGCTACTCAAGAGGCTGAAGCAGGAGAATCACGTGAACCTGGGAGGCCAAGGTTTCAGTGAGCTGAGATGGCGCCACGACGGCACTCCAGCCTGGGCGACAGAGCAAGACTCCGTCTCAAAAAAAAAAAAAAAAAAAAAAAGATTCATGTAAAAAGTGACATTTGAATTGCAACTTGCCACTTAGAAAGTATTTACTAAGTATAGGCCAGGCATGGTGGCTCACGCTTGTAATCCCAGCACTTTGGGAGGCCGAGGTGGGCGGATCGCGATATCACGAGTTCAAGACCAACCTGACCAACATGGTAAAACCCCGCCTCTACTAAAAATACGAAAATTAGCCAGGCATAATGGTGTGCACCTGTAATCCCAGCTACTCAGGAGGCTGAAGCAGGAGAATCACTTGAACCTGGGAGGCAGAGGTTGCAGTGAGCCAAGATCGTACCACTGCACTCCAGCCTGAGCGACAGAGCGAGACTCCATCTCAAAAAAAAAAAAAAGTATTCACTAAGTACAATAAGCTAAACAGGCCCGGTGCCATCTGGCTCACGCTTGTAATCCCAGCACTTTGGGAGGCCGAGGTGGGCGGACCACGAGGTCAGGAGATCAAGACCATCCTGGCTAACAGAGTGAAACCTCGTCTCTACTAAAAATACAAAAAAATTAGCCAGGCGTGGTGGCAGGCGCCTGTAATCCCAGGTACTTGAAAGGCTGAGGCAGGAGAATCACTTGAACCTGGGAGGTGGAGGTTGCGGTGAGCTGAGATTGCACCACTGCACTCCAGCCTGGGCAACAGAGCGAGACTCCGTCTCAAAAAAAAAAAAAAAAAAAAGGGGTTATAGGAGGAAGAAAAAGATTAACTAATAAAAGAAACTCAAAGACTATTTCTAGAAAAGCCACATGGCAGAAGGAGGAAAATCAAAAACATTGACCTTTCTCTTTAGAAGTAAAGCCTCCCCCAACCCCAAAATAATAATAATAGTAACAATGATAGGCCGGGTGTGGTGGCTCATGCCTGTCATCCCAGCACTTTGGAAGGCTGAGGTGGGCAGATCACCTGAAGTAGGGAGATCAAGACCGGCCTGGCCAACGTGGTGAGACCCCATCTCTACTAAAAATACAAAAATTAGCTGGGCATGGTGGCGCATGCCTGTAATCCCAGCTACTCGGGAGGCTGAGGCAGGAGAATTGCTTGAACCCCGGAGGCGAAGGTTGCAGCGAGCCAAGATCACACCATTGCATTCCAGCCTGCGCAACAGAGTGAGACTTCGTCTCAAAATAATAATAATAATAATAATAATAATAATAATAAAATAAAATGAAAGAAGTAAAACCTCCCTTGACTTCTTACATCTATCAATCAGTACTTATCCAAACTGTTACCGGAAAGGGGTCCCGATCCAGACCCCAAGAGAGGGTTTTTGGAACTCTCGAAAGAAAGAATTTGAGGTGAGTCCATAGAGTGAAGTGAAAGTAGGTTTAATAAGAAAGTAAAGGAGGCCGGGCGCGGTGGCTCACGCCTGTAATCCCAGCACTTTGGGAAGCCGAGGCGGGAGGATCACGAGATCGCCACCATCCTGGCTAACATGGTGAAACCTCGTCTCTACTAAAAATAGAAAAAATTAGCTGGGCATGGTGGCGGGTGCCTGTAGTTCCAGCTACTCGGAAGGCTGAGGCAGGAGAATGGCGTGAACCCAGGAGGCGGAGCTTGCAGTGAGCCGAGATCGTCACTGCATTCTAGCCTGGGAGACAAGGAGACTCCGTCTTAAAAAAAAAAAGAAAGAAAGAAAGTAAAGGAGTAAAAGAATGGCTACTACATCGGCAGAGAAGCAGCATGGACTGCTCGACTGAGTATACTTATGGTTATTTCTTGATTATGTGCTAAACAAGGGGTGGATTATTCATGAGTTTTTCAGGAAAGGGGTAGAGATTTCCCAGGAACTGAGGGCCCCTCCCCTTTTTAGACCATATAGGGTAACTTCCGAATGTTGCCATGTCATTTATAAACTGTCATGCACTGGTGGGAATGTCTTTTAGCATGCTAATGCATTATGATTAGCATATAATGAGCAGTGAGAACAACCAGAAGTCACTTTCATTGCCATCTTGGTTTCTGGGGGATTTTTGTTTGAGACAGTGTCTCACTCTGTTGCCCAGGCTGGAGTGCAGTGGCACAAACACAGTTCACTGCAGCCTCAACCTCAGGTGATCCTCTCACCTCAGCCTTTTGAGTAGCTGGAATTGTAGGCGGTTGCCACTACACTTGGCTAATATATATAATATATAATATTATATATATTATATATTTTATATATATTTTTATATATTATATATATTTTTATATATTTTATATTTTATATATAATATATTATATATGTTATATATATTATATGTTTTATATATATATAATATATATAATATATATATAAACTTCTTGTAGAGATGGGGTTTTGCTATGTTGCCCAGGCTGGTCTCAAACTCCTGGGCTCAAGCAGTCCACCTGCTTCAGCCTCCCAAAGTGCTAGGATTACAGGCATGAGCCACTACGCCTGGCCACCATCTTGGTTTTTGTGGGGCTTGGCTGGTCTCTTTACATCTTATTTTATCAGCAAGCTCTTTGTGACCTGTATCTTGTGCCGACCTCCTATCTCATCCTATGACTAAGAATGCCTAGCCTCCTGGGAATGCAGCCTAGTAGGTCTCAGCCTTATTTTACCCAGCCCCTATTCAAGATAAAGTCACTCTGGTTCAAATGCCTCTGACATATTTCTCCCCTCCCTTTTACAAGGGGACTCTTAATCCTAAGGGTTTTAGAGGGACAAAAATCCATCTTCCGTAACTTCTTCAGGCTAAACAGGGACAATGATATTCCTGCCTAACTACTAGGGTCTCTTGTATTCAGGGTAGAGAGGAGCTCAGTCAGGAAGCATCAGTATAGTAAGGACCATTCATAACTATGAATTTCGACAAAAGGGGATATCTGGAAGATTAACAAGGATTAAATTTAAGAAAACATTGAGGGGGAGGAGAGGTTGGAGGAAAAAAAGAAAAAAGAAAACATTGAGTAAGCTTATCCTGCATTCCTACACAAAGGGTACAACAGCAATATATTCCACAACAGTAAAGCAAAATAAGAAAAATTATCCCAAGTAAACTAAATAAGAAGGCTTTCCATTAACTGAGCAATTGCTGGAATCAAGCTAATATGGAATCACTAGCTGATTCCAGTACGTGCCCAGAATTAGAATACTGATCCAGATTTTTACACTATCCATCCCTCTTGTTTCTTCTGAGCTGCAGTCAGAGATCACTGGTTGATTGGCAGGAATAACCAGGGTTGGTATAAATTGCAGAAAAAAAACCCTCAAAAACAACTGATGAGACTAGACTCTAATAACAGGTGTAGCATATTTCTTAAAACATAATTTTTTGGGCCGGGCGCGGTGGCTCACGCCTGTAATCCCAGCACTTTGGGAGGCCAAGGCGGGCGGATCACAAGGTCAGGAGATCGAGACCATCCTGGGTAACACGGTGAAACCCCGTCTCTACTACAAATACAAAAAATTAGCCGGGCACGGTGGCAGGGGCCTGTAGTCCCAGCTACTCGGGAGGCTGAGGCAGGAGAATGGCATGAACCAGGGAGGCAGAGTCTGCAGTGAGCCGAGATAGCGCCACTGCAGTCTGGCCTGGGCGAAAGAGTGAGACTCTGTCTCAAAATAATAATAATAATAATAATAATAATAATAATAATTTTTCGGCTGGGCGCAGTGGCTCACACCTGTAATACCAGCACTTTGGGAGGCTGAGGCGGGCGAATCACAAGGTTAAGAGTTCGAGACAAGCCTAGCCAACATGGTGAAACCTCGCCTCTACTAAAAATACAAAAAATTAGCTGGGCGTAGTGACAGGCGCCTGTAATCCCAGCTACTTGGGAGACTGAGGCAGGAGAATCGCTTGAACCCAGGAGGCAGAGATTGCAGTAAGCTGAGATTGTGCCACTGGACTCCAGCCTGGGCGACAGAGTGAGACTCTGTCTCAAAAAATACAAAAAACAAAAAACAAAAAAAAACTACACATAATTTTTCTCTCTCCAGTCCTCATTTTTATTAAAAACAAATCATGATAGGACTAATTTGTTTGCAAAATAAGCTTTAGTCTTATTATACTTGGCCTGATTATTTGCATAAAGCACAGCAAGAATAATAATTTCCCATATAGGCTCATTTGTAAATTGGCTTTGATGGAACTTTGTTCCATGAGAAATCTCAGGTAAGAATTTTTTTTTTTTTTTTTTTGAGACAGAGTTTCGCTCTTGTTGCCCAGGCTGGAGTGCAATGGTGCAATCTCGGCTCACCTAAACCTCCACCTCCCGGGTTCAAGTGATTCTCCTGTCTCAGCCTTTCAAGTAGCTGGGATTACAGGCATGTGCCACCATGCCTGGCTAATTTTTTTGTATTTTTAGTAGAAACGGGGTTTCACCGTGTTAGCCAGGATGGTCTCGATCTCCCGACCTCAGATGATCCACCTGCCTCAGCCTCCCAAAGTGCTGGGATTACAGGCATGAGCCACCATGCCTGGCAAGATAAGACTTTTTAAAGCCTTAAGCTCGGCCATGGGTTTGTGCCATCAAATACCTATATGAGTAAGGTAAATTCCTCTCCTCTTGAGGTCCAAAGATAACATGGGGTTCCTAGGCTTGTCAGAACGTGACATTCTTTACTTATCATCATAGGTCAGGAACCCTGTAACCCTGCACAGGGCCTGCGTAGACAAGGTATGAGAACATTTTTTTCCCCAAGTGTTTTTTTTTTTGGAGACAGAGTCTTGCTCTGTCACCCAGGCTGCAGTGCAGTGGCATGATCCCGGCTCACTGCAACCTCCGTGGCCCAGGTTCAAGCAAATCTCCTGCCTTAGCCTCCTTAGTAGCTGGGATTACAGGCATGCGCCACCATGCCTGCCTAATTTTTGTATTTTTAGTAGAGGTGGAATTTCACAATGTTGGCCAGCCTGGTCTTGAACTCCTGACTTCAGGTGATCCACTCACCTCAGCCTCCCAAAGTGTTGGGATTACAGGCGTGAGCCACCGTGCCTAGCCCCCAAGGGTTTTTTGTTTGTTTGTTTTTTGAGACGGAGTCTCACTCTGTCGCCCAGGCTGGAGTGCAGTGGCGCGATCTCGGCTCACTGCAAGCTCCGCCTCCTGGGTTCACGCCATTCTCCTGCCTCAGCCTCCTGAGTAGCTGGGACTACAGGCACCTGCCACCACGCCTGGCTAATTTTTTGTATTTTTAGTAGAGACGGGGTTTCACCATGTTGGCCAAGATGGTCTTGATTTCCTGACCTCGTGATCTGCCCACGTCGGCCTCCCAAAGTGCTGGGATTACAGGCATGAGCCACCGCGCCCAGCTCCCCCAAGGGGATTTTATTAGCTCTATAAGTCAACTTCAATTCCTTAAAACAGTCTGTTTGTACCTGAAAGCATGCCATTTCAGTCAAAGCCTTGATAAATTAATGAGTATCTCCAACTGTGTTCTGTTACAAAAGACAGATTTTTTTTTTTTTTTTTTTTTGAGATAGTCTTGCTCTGTCACCCAGGCTGGAGTGCAGTGGCACGATCTCAGCTCACTGCAACTTCTGCCTCCCGGGTTCAAGTGATTCTTCTGCCTCAGCCTCCAGAGTAGCTGGGATTACAGGCACCTGCCACCACACCCAGCTAATTTTTGTATTTTTAGTAGAGATGGGGTTTCACCATGTTTGCCAGGCTGGTCTTGAACTCCTGACCTCAGGTGATCCACCTGCCTCGGCCTCCCAAAGTGCTGGGATTACAGGCATGAGCCACCACGCCCAGCCAAAAGACAGATTCTTATTGCACTTATGCAAATAACTGTATTGCCATAAGTAAGAATACTTACAAACAGTTTCCAAAGTTTGGAGAAACCAGGGAGAAAGGAAGATGCTCCAAATTTTGTTTGTAGGAGTATACTTTAAAAACAATTCAGTTGACTGAGAATAAAAGAACTTTTTTTCTTCAGAAAAATAAGATCCAAGAAGTGAAAAAAGCATAAAAACCTTTTAATATATGCATAGTTTGGATATCTACTTTTAATTAAGCTGACTTAACCAAATCTTTTATTATCAGACTCTAGCTAGGCCAAACAGCCTATATTTCTGGCTTTTGAACTTTACCAAAGGTAACCTCCCAGGTGTTCAGAGAAGAAAAAATTCAAGATGGGAAGTCAGAAGTTGTACATAGAGGGGAAGGAAATCAACAAGTGGCAAAGGTCACACAAATATCAACCAGAAAGTATTTATTCTCTAGGCTGAAAATTTAACCCAGGGTGCCATTGTGAAAAGACAAAACCTTAGCTACTAAGCTACAGCATTAGGCAGTTTCCATTGCTCTTCCCAGACGGAGCCTAGAGCAGTCAATTTTGAGCTTGCAAAGGCTTTTAACTACTCAAGATAATTTTTAGAGCTAACTATGACATGAACTCCAAAATTCCTGTCCTCTGGATGGCGGAAACCAAGAGAAAGTACCACCACGTGGTTACAAGGTCAAGCTCCCAAGGACATAAAACAAGACAAGAGGGAAATTTTATCCAGTTTTTGTTTCAGGGACCTCCAACAAAGTTTGTAACTGACCAGTTTGCCAGGCTGGCTTGAACAGCAGGCTTATGAGGCCCTAAGTCCATGTTCTATCCTAAGGTACTTCTTTTTATGACAGAACAATACAGAAAGATAAATTCATAGCACAAAGCACACCACATTTGCTATAGCTTAAGACTAGCCTCATGAATCTTTAATTAATCAAAAATTTGCAGAGGAGACAATGATTTTTACTGTTCCCACAACCAGTTTGCACAGAGGAGAGGCCAGAAGTCTGACTGGTAAGAAACTCTTACCCTTTTGCCAGCATGCCAGGTTTCTGGGGTTCCCTTTTCCTTTTTTTTTTTCTCTTTTGTGAGATGGAGTCTCACTCTGTCACCCAGGCTGGAGTGCAGTGGCACGGTCTTGGCTCACTGCAACCTCCACCTCCTGGGTTCAAGCGATTCTCCTGCCTCGGCCTCCCAGATAGCTGGGATTACAGGTGCATACCACTATGCCCAGCTAATTTTTGTACTTTTGTACATGTTGGCCAGGCTGGTCTTGAACTCCTGACTTCAACCTGAACCACCACTCCCAGCCGGGTTCCCTTTTCCTGAGTGGCCCTAGCAACCCTGCTTGCTGCACCATAGCCCTGGGGGCCTAGCCACAATACAAAGGAAAATCATCGCTGGGCACAGTGGCTCACGCCTATAATCCCAGCACTTTGGGAGGCTGAGGCGGGCGGATCATGAGGTCAGGAGTTCCAGGCCAGCCTGGCCAACTTAGTGAAACCTGGTCTCTACTAAAAATACAAAAATTAGCCAGGCATGGTGGCGCATGCCTGTAGTCCCAGCTAGTCGGGAGGCTGAGGCAGGAGAATTGCTTGAATGAGGAAGGTGGAGGTTGTCGTGAGCCAAGATCGCGCCACTGCACTGCAGCCTGGGCAACAGAGTGAGCCTCTGTCTCAAAAAGAAAGAAAGAAAGAAAGAAAATCATCGTTTTCCATTTCACGGAACCACAGGCAAAAGCCTCTCAATTTTGCAAGATGCCACCCAACTAGCTGCATGGGGGAACCAAATTAACCTTTCCCATTCCAACCAGAGCAAAATACGTGTCACAAAACATAGACATTAGCCATTCCCCTTAGTGGCCAATATTTAACTGGCAAAGCTCAAACTTGCCTCCGGTTGGGCCCTGTCATCTTTGATCCACTCAGTATGGGGTGGAATGACCTCCAACCAGGAATTTCAACATGTGGTCTCTGGGCAAGAAGGAAGAATAGACAGTTGCCCTGAGTACAGAAAAGACAGGAAAGGGAAAGGAGTCAGAGAGAAAGAGAAGCATTGCCTGCAGTGGGGTGGGGAAGGCTAGGAGCTAGGGAGGCCAGAGAAAGGCCCACCCATTGCAGCGACACTGAATCAAAAGCTCAGGTGGCTGCTTGTGAGTCAGGAAGGGATTTTTTTTTTTCCAGCAGTCCCATCAGCTCTCAAGTTTCTCCCTTTGGGGAGAAAAAAAGCTCCCCATATCCCGTGATTCTATACTTGCCTAATCCTGTCACCCACAGCCATCAGCAAAGATTGCAAGGCAGATTAATCCAAACAGAATGGTGGTTAACATCCCATAGTGCCAAATCCACTTTTAACCAAGAGGGACTTTACCGAGGGAGGCCTTGTTTTTTTATAAATTGAGACGAGGTCTCACTATGTTGCCCAGGCTGGTCTCAAACTCCTGAGCTCAAGTGATTCTCCTGCCTCAACCTCCTAAAGTGCTGGGATTACAGGTGTGAGCCACCGCACCCAGCCTAACCCCATAAATCTTAGGAAGGACTCTAACCTTCCTAAGTTGGGAGGCTGAGGTGGGAGGATCACCTGAGCCCAGGACGTCAAGGCTACAGTGAGCCATCATCACACTGCTACACTCTAGCCTAGGCAACAGGGTGAGACTGCATCATAAATAAATAAATAAATAAATAATCTAAGGTCCAGATAGAATGTGGGTGCTGAGAGGCTGGGCGAAGTGGCTCACACCTGTAATCCCAGCACTTTGGGAGGCCGAGACGGGTGGATCATGAGGTCAGGAGTTCAAGACCAGCCTGGCCAAAATGGTGAAACCCCATCTCTACTAAAAATACAAAAATTAGCCAGGTGTGGTGGCGGGCACCTGTAATCCCAGCTACTCAGGAGGCTGAGGCAGGAGAATTGCTTGAACCCAGGAGGTGGAGGTTGCAGTGAGCCAAGATCGTGCCATTACACTCCAGCCTGGGCCACAGAGCAAGACTCCGTCTCAAAAAAAAAAAAAAGAAAGAAAGAAAAAGAAAGAAAAGAAGGCTCCCAGGTGGTGAAAGCTAATGTAAGCCAAGATGGAAATTTGGAGGAATCTGAAGCCTAGCAAGAATCTCATAGCGATTGTCAGCATAGAAGAACAGCCAAGGTAGGGAAAGAAAACTGAGAAGTTGGAGAATAAAGAGCAGGTGACTCTTGAGCTGTCTTTAAGTGCTTCTACTAATGAAGTAAGAGAAGAGAAAATATGCCACTACTTCGTAATATCATTACTGATATTAGGTTGAACCATATGAAATTGTTGATATTCGATTGCTATGAAAATGACAATTTCATATGGTCTAACTTAATATTTTACATTATCTCATTTGGAGACAAGGAGTGCTCACACTGACGACAATTAGCAGTTAGCCGATTTATGTGGAAAATGATAGATTTGATTTCTTAATTTTTTGACAAAGCTGATATTACTCAGTTAACCACTAAAACTATTAAGTTCTATTATTGTGATTAGATTAAACCCTTTAAGAATGTAATTTTGATGCAACCATAAAAAAGAACATGATCCTGTCTTTTGCAGGAACATGGATGGAGGTGGAGGCTATTATCCTCAGCAAACGAATGCAGGAACAGAAAACCAGACCGCATATTCTCACTTATAAGTGGGAGCTAAATGATGAGAACTTATGAACACAAAGAAGGAAACAAGAGATACTGGGGTCTATTTGAGGGTGGAGGGTGGGAGGAGGGAGAAGAGCAGAAAAGATAACTATTGGGTACTGGGTTTAAGCAGAAAAGATAACTATTGGGTACTGGTTTCATCCTGGGTGATGAAATAATCTCTACAACAAACCCCCATGACATGAGTTTACCGATGTAACTGATATTTACATGTATCCCCAAATCTAAAATAAAAGTTTAAAAAAAGAATATAATTCTGAGATGCTATATTCTCCTTTTTTTCAGTATATTATGCCTTAGTTGTCTACCAATTAAGGAAACTGAGTCATAGAATCACAGAAATGAAAACCATGCAATTATCTTTTTATTTTATTTTATTTATTTTTTGAAATGGAGTCTCTCTGTGTCGCCCAGGCTGGAATGCAGTGGCACGATCTCGGCTCACTGAAACCTCTGCCTCCCAGGTTCAAGCAATTCTCCTGCCTCAGCCTCCCAGGTAGCTGGGACTACAGGTGCACACCACCACGCCCAGCTAATTTTTGTAATTTTAGTAGAGATGGAGTTTCACCATGTTGGCCAGGCTGGTCTCGAACGCCTGACCTCAAGTGATCCACCTGCCTCAGCCTTCCAAAGTGCTGGTATTACAGACATGAGCCACTGCACCAGGCCAATTATCTTTAGAGTAGATAATATTTATGAGACCTTGAAATGCAGTGGCTTACAGAAAGAAATTTAAACAATAATACATCATTATATGGGAGAGGGAGTACAAATAATACCATATAAAAGAAACAAACCATATGCAGGAAAAGGCTGGCAATAAGAAAGACATTGAGCCTACAAAAGGTAAAGGATATTCCAAACTCCACAGCTCAAAAACTTCAAACTGATCTTTGCCTAATCACGAAGGAACTGAAAGAAGCATTTAGTTACGTTACTCTGGTTCCCTAATAAAAGGAACTAGCTCTAAGGAACTAAAAAACTAAAAAAGAGAAGTAAAAAGGGGTGGCTCAACCTTTGCCATCCAAAAAAACACCAAAGGATTCAGTTGGTGTTGTAAAACGAGGACTGACTTCTGCAGATCTGGGTTTTGGCCCTAACTCTGCCACTAAATTGTTGTGTGACCTTCAGCAAATCTTCATCTTTCAAAATCTGAATTTTCACCTCTTCA
Organism: Homo sapiens; assembly: GCF_000001405.40. Lineage (NCBI taxonomy): Eukaryota > Metazoa > Chordata > Mammalia > Primates > Hominidae > Homo > Homo sapiens. The sequence goes on along the minus strand of NW_009646195.1, from coordinate 115,573 downwards.
AAATGAAGATGTGGAACAAATGATCTAAAACAATATAATTTCCAACTTAGAGAAAAATTTCAAGAACAGTACAAGAAACTCCCAGAAGTCCTTTATCCAAATTCATAAATTAATTACATTTTGCTCCATTTGCTTTATTATTCTCTCTTTACATACATAGTTATAAATATATGCACATTTTTTCCTGAAATATTTGAGATATATTCGAGACTCATTACCCCTGAGTGTATTTCTTAATAACAAGGTCGGCCGGGCGCGGTGGCTCAAGCCTGTAATCCCAGCACTTTGGGAGGCCGAGGCAGGTGGATCACGAGGTCAGGAGATCGAGACCATCCTGGCTAACACGGTGAAACCCCATCTCTACTAAAAATACAAAAAAATTAGCCAGGCGTGGTGGCGGGCGCCTATAGTCCCAGCTACTCGGGAGGCTGAGGCAGGAGAATGGCGTGAACCTGGGAGGCAGAGCTTGCAGTGAGCTGAGATCGCGCCACTGCACTCCAGCCTGGGTGACAGAGCGAGACTCCGTCTCAAAAAAAAAAACAAAAAAAAAAACAAACAAGGTCATTGTCTTATGTTACCACAGTATAGATATAAAAATCAGGACATTTAACATTGATGTAATACTATCAACTAATTCATAGTCCATATTACATTTCGTTAGTTGTCCTAAAAATATTATTATTTTGATAGAGACAGAGCCTTGTTCTGTTGCCCAGCTGGAATGCAATGGCTGAATCATAGTTCACTGCAACTTCAAACTCCTGGGCTCAAGCAATCCTCTTGCCTGCCAAGTAGCTAGGCCTACAGGCATGTGCCACCACATCAGGCTAATTTATAAATTTTTGTTGTAGAGAGTAGGTCTCACTATATTGCCTAGGCTGGTCTCCAATTCCTGGCCTTGAGAGAGAGCCTCCTGCCTCAGCCTCCCAAAGTGCTGGGGTTATAGGCATGAGCCCTAAAAATATGATATAAGACTATTTTTTTCCTGGTCTGGAATCAAATCCAAGATCACATACTGCCTTTAGCTGTCATGTCTCTTTTGTCTACCTTAATCTGTACTAGTTCCTCAGTCTTTTCTTTCTGTTTTCTGACCTCGACATTTGTGAACAGTACAGGCCAGTTATTCTATAAAAGGCCCTCAGTTTGGGTTGGTCTGAGATTTTCTCGTGATTAGATTCAGCTTGTGCATTTTGGGCAGGGTTACCATTGAAGCAATGTTGTGTCCTCAGTGCTTCTTATTAGGAGGCCCATGGAAGTCAGTTGGTCCTAATATCAGTGATATTAGGTTTCATGACTTGGTTAAAGCAGTGGTAATGAGGTTCCTCCACTATTTTCCCTTGTAACTATTAAGTAACTTATGGACAGATACTTTCCTATGTAAATAACCCTCTCCTTATCAAACTGCCACCCACTAGTTTTAGCATCCACGAATAAGTTTCTTACTCCATCATTCTATCTATATTTACTAGTTATCATCCTATTGTAAGGAAAACCTTGCCCTTTCCCTACATTTATATTATTATTCACCTAGAGGCTGATGATAAAGGAAATGTCTGAATTCCATTATGATAAAGCTGACAATTGCTATCAATTTTTCTATAGGTGTTGGTCTACAATGTGATTTTCCCTCAAGAAATTAAATAGTGCCACTGCTCTCCAGTTCAGTAATACATGAACCACAGCATTTTGACTCTAATGTACATGGGCCATTGTTGTAGGTTATGAATATCAATACAGTAATATACAAAGGTTCTTAAAATTAACCTTGGATTTAATAAGAGGTAACACATTTTCACATATAATTTTTTCATTTTACTTAAGAAAGACAATGTTCTTGGGGTTCTTCCGATTAAAGTTCTGAATTTAAATATTAGAAATAAAATAGGACTGAAAACCCAGTTACATTATCTTATAGCACCAACCCCATAAGAGGTATCAGTTTGCAGACCAGGATGTAACAATGAGGTTGAAGTTGCAGTGAACTCTGGACACAGAGGCAGAAGCTTGGCAGAAATATTTTAAAGGAGCCAAAAGAAACTAAAGCTCATAAGGTCACATCAGAAAGGTAAATTTGAAAAATACAGTTTAAATGCAACGCTTTCTAAATTGGTCAAAAAGTACTTAGGTTTCAGTTATATGTTCAATCACTTGACTGTAAAGTGATTTTCTTTCTTTATTTAATTTTTTTTCTTTTTTTTTGAGATGGAGTCTTGCCCTGTCGCCCAGGCTGGAGTGCAGTGGCGTGATCTCGGCTCACTGCAACCTCCATCTCCCAGGTTCAAGCAATTCTCCTGCTTAAGCCTCCCAAGTAGCTGGAATTACAGGAATGCCCCACTATGCCCAGCCAATTTTTTTGTATTTTTAGTAGAGATGGGGTTTCACCATGCTGGCCAGGCTGGTCTCGAATTCCTGACCTCGTGATCCTCCCGCCTCGGCCTCCCAAAGTACTGGGATTACAGGCATGGGCCACTGCACCCGGACCTTTAATTTTTTTTTTTTTTTTTGAGACGGAGTTTTGCTCTTGTTGCCCAGGCTGGAGTGCAATGGCGCATCTCGGCTCACTGCAACCTCCACCTCCCAGGTTCAAGCGATTCTCCTGTCTCAGCCTCCCGAATAGCTGGGATTACAGATATGTGCCACCATGTTTGGCTAATTTTGCATTTTTAGTAGGGCTAATTTTGTATTTTTAGTAGAGACGGGATTTCTCCATGTTGGTCAGGATGGTGTCGAACTCTTGACCTCAGGTGATCCACCTGCCTCAGCCTCCAAAAGTGCTGGGATTACAGGCGTGAGCCACCGTGCCCGGCCTCTTTATTTAATTTTTATACAGACAGGGTCTCACACTGTTGCCCAGAGTGGAGTGCAGTGGTGTGATCATACCTCACTGCAGCCTCCAACTCCTGGGTGCCAGCAATTCCCATGCCTCAGCCTCCAAAGTAGCTAGGACTACAAGTGAGCACCACCACACCCAGCTGATTTTATTTTTATTTTTATTTTTTTGTAGAGACAGGGTCTTGCTATGTTGCCCAGGATAATCTCAAACTCCTGGGCTCAAGTGACCACCCCCCAACCTTGGCCTCCCAAACAGGGATTACAGGCATGAACTACTGTGCCTGGCCTGTAAAGTGGTTTTCTTTGAGGGGTGAATGGATAAGAGCTTGGGGTCTGCCAGGCACGGTGGCTCGCGCCTATAATTCCAGCACTTTGGGAGGCCGAGGCAGGTGAATCACGTGAGGTCAGGAGTTCGAGAACAGCCTGGCCACCATGGTGAAAAATATCTGTACTAAAAATACAAAAAATTAGCTGGGCGTGGTGGCAGGTGCCTGTGGTCCCAGCTACTCGGGAGGCTGAGGCAGGAGAATGGCGTGAACCCAGGAGGCGGAGCTTGCAGTGAGCTGAGAACAGGCCATTGTACTCCAGCCTGGGCGACAGAGCAAGACCCCGACTCAAAAAAAAAAAAAAAAATTGGCTGGGCGCGGTGGCTCACTTCTGTAATCCTAGCACTTTGGGAGGCCGAGGCGGGCGGATCACCTGAGGTCGGGAGTTCCAGACCAGTCTGACCAACATGGAGAATCCCCATCTCTACTAAAAATACAAAATTAGCCAGGAATGGTGGCGCACGCCTGTAGTCCCAGCTACTCAGGAGGCTGAGGTACCAGGAATGGTGGCGCACGCCTGTAGTCCCAGCTACTCAGGAGGCTGAGGCAGGAGAATCGCTTGAACATGGGAGGCGAAGGTTGCAGTGAGCCGAGATCGTGCCATTGCATTCCAGCCTGTGCAACAAAAGCGAAACTCTGTCTCAAAAAAAAAACAAAAAACAAAAAAATTAGCTGGGCATGGTGGCGGGTGCCTCTAATCCCAGCTGAGGAAGGAAAATTGCTTGAACCCGGGAAGCGGAGGTTGCAGTGACCCGAGATGGCGCGACTGCACTCCAGTCTGGGCAACAAGAGCGAAACTCTTGTCTCAAAAAAAAAAAAGAAAAAAAAAAAAAAGGTTTTGGGCCTGTCAAACCTAAATCAAAGGGTTCTGCCCCCTTCCTACTTTAGGAAAGTTTGAAATCCAGTGTAAACTAGATTTAATACTGGTCTTCCTTAGAACTCCTCATCAAATCTATGTATGTAGGCAAGTGCTTAAATCCAAGACAATTTCATCCTTCCTCAATTAAAAGCTATGTATGTGAACACATATGTAAAGCTAAACAGTACATAATTCCTAAGACTTTACCATCTTTCTTCAGTATTTTAAATCTTAGCCGGGCATGGTGTCTCATGCCTGTGAACCCAACACTTTGAAAGGCCGAGGCAGGAGGATTGCTTGAGGCCAGGGGTTGGAGATCAGCCTGGGCAACATGGCAAACCTCCCCGCAATCTCTCCAAAAAAAAATTTAAAAATTAGCTGGGCATGGGTTATGATTGAGCCACTGTTCTCCAGCCTGGGCAACAAAGAGAGATCCTGTCCCTAAAAAATTAAAAATTAAAAGTTTTTGGAGAGCTGGCCACCCTTACACTTACATTTCTCTTTCCTGCCATTCATTCCTATCATCTTATTTTTTAACATCGGACTGTGTCATCATTCTTCATATTCCTATTACATCACTGCCTACTCCTGTTTCTTTCTATTTGGACAATTCTTAGTTATTTACTGTTCCCATCTCTTCATCTACATATTCAGAACCTGAGCCTGGCGCGGTGGCTCACGCCTGGAATCCCAGCACTTGGGAGGCCGAGGCGGGCGGATCACGAGGTCAGGAGATAGAGACCATCCTGGCTAACACGGTGAAACCGCGTCTCTACTAAAAATACAAAAATTAGCTGGGCGTGGCGGCGTGCGCCTGTAGTCCCAGCTGCTGGGGAGGCTGAGGCAGGAGAATGGCATGAACCCGGGTGGCGGAGCTTGCAGTGAGCCGAGATCGCGCCACTGCACTCCAGCCTGGGCGACAGAGCGAGACTCTGTCTCAAAAAAAAAAAAAAAAAAGAACCTGAGAGCAGCACTTAAGGAGAGAAAAAAGCATTTTGGAAACCTCCAATTAATATATAACTTAAGCGATAAAATAATGGAATATTAAGGCTGGGCACGGTAGCTCACGCCTGTAATCCCAGCACTTTGGGAGAGCGAGGTGGGCCGATCACCTGAGGTCAAGAATTCGAGAACAGCCTGACCAAAATGGCGAAACCCCGTCTCTACTAAAAATACAAAAATTAGCCGGGGCCGTGGTGGCACGCACCTCTAATCCCAGCTACTTGGGAGGCTGAAGCAAGAGAATCGCTTGAACACGGGAGGTGGAGGTTGCAGTGAGCTGGCGCCACTGCACTCCAGCCTGGGTGACAGAGGGAGACTCGGTCTCGAAAAAATAATGAAATACTCTAGACGAAAACAATGAATTTTTACCCATATAAGCCTGTGGTGGAGAAAAGTTTTATCTCTACCACTAGATTGATTACTTTTTAAAAAATTTTTTATAAATAAAACCAACCATATTAACAAAAAGGAAAAGGTATCTTTTATTTTATTATTTATTTATTTATTTATTTTTGAGATGGAGTCTTGCTCTGTCGCCCAGGCTGGAGTGCAGTGGCGTGATCTCGGCTCACTGCAAGCTCCGCCTCCCGGGTTCACACCATTCTCCTGCCTCAGTCTCCCGAGTAGCTGGGACGACAGGCGCCCGCCACCACGCCCAGCTAATTTTTTGTATTTTTAGTAGAGACGGGGTTTCACTGTGTTAGCCAGGATGGTCTCTATCTCCCGACCTCGTGATCTGCTCGCCTCGGCCTCCGAAAGTGCTGGGATTACAGGTGTGAGCCACCGCGCCCGGCCAGGAAAAGCTATCTTTTAAAATTAAAATGGTAGTTTGGTGTTTTTTTGAGGGGTCACATTTCATGAAAATGTTCTCAAACCCTAAGGAACAGTGTTGAGCCGGGACAGCGAATAGGATAATTACAAAATCTAAGAGAAAGCATTACACATCGTGCTTAAAAACGACTTTACGTTTAAAAGATAACCTGTCTCACGTCTATAAACCCCGTATGCCAGCTAAAATCTCTCACTGGCCCTTCTTCTAACGTAAGTCATCGTTACACAGTTGACCTGCGATGTACATTATTTCTATGGCTTTTGCTAACTGGGCTGGTGGTGTTTGGTCAGAAAGCTTGAGGGTCCTAAGAGGAAAGGTTTAGGCGCTGGTTTTCTAAGGTTGCTTAAATTAGAGAAAGTCGAGGGTTTATCCTTCTAGCGGCAGTTACGGTGCTGGATTTCGGGAACTCGAGGAGCCTTTAGGGGTCAGGCCGTCAGAGCCGTGGACCTTAATTTCCCCATCTCTAAAATGGGGAAGGAGGCTGCTCTCTGAGGAAGGCAGGAATACAGGATCATAACCCGCCGCCCAGCCAACGTGAGAGCAGCCATCCAGTAAGAGCAAGGAGGCGGCGGGGCGGAGAGGAGCGAGAACAAGGCAGTTTGCAGGAAGTGCTTCAGGGTTGGGAGGGGAGACTGAGGGCGGAGGCGGGAATGTGAAAGCTGAGCTCTAGCTGCGGAGTTTGTACCGAAGCTCAGGAAAGGCGGGTCGAAAAAACTGGGGTGAAGGGGTTATTCAGTGGATGGGCAAGACGGGCCGCCTCTCCCGAAGAGAGAGAGCTGGATGCGGGGAAGGCTCTGAGGTGGCGGCTGAGGAACGTGGGGGAAAGGGGGAGGTGAACGCGCTCAGAAAAGGGGCGGGAAGCGCGCGCCCAGCACCTCTAGTCCGCAGACCCGGGTTTCTGACCGCGCGCTCAGCGTCGACGGTGCGGACGCTAGAACGGCAGCCGCGCGGCCCTCCTCGCCCCGCCGGGATCTGAGAGGCCCGCAGCGTGTCCCTCGAAGTGGCGGGCGGGCTCCTGTCTCCTCGGCCGGGAGTTAGGAAGCCGAGGAAGGGAACACGTTGTTCTCTTTTGCTCTTTTCGTTCCCCTCCCCCACGAAGAATAGGGCAGGAGGCCCTGGGCGTGTCGGAGCGAGTCCGCTCCGGGTTTTCCCGCCCACTTCAACTCTGTGAGCCCTTCGACCGCGCGGCGCTTCACTCCACCGGGCGCGCCCGAGCCCTCCGCCGGAACTCGTTCCGCCTCCCCCACACATCCTTCTCCAGGAATGGAAGTGGGCGCTCAGACCTAACTACCTGAGATCCTGCTGGCTGGGCCGCTACCCCTTATCTCTTCGGGGTTCCAACTCCGACAGCCCCTCGCAACTAGAATTCCCCTCTAACAAGGTCGCTCTGAGGGACTACTTGATGTCTCCGTGCGCTCGGTGGTGCGGCCGCGCTCTGAGCTCTTCCTGGAAACTCCCGCCTCGGGGAGCCAGGAGAGCCGGGCCGGGGGGAGGGGTGCGGAGGGGACGCACACGCCCCCTGTCCCGCGGGAGGGCTCCGCGCCCCCGCCCTTCTCTCCGCGGATGGGAGGGAGGGCGCGAGCGGGGGAGGGGAGGGAGTGGGGCGCGGAAACGGAGGGGGGGCGGCTTCCCGCCCCATCCCCCGCCTCTAGAACAACGGGTTCCCGCTGCTGCCCCCTGCCGCCCACAGTGCTCTGCGCCCCTGCGGGGCTCCGAGAGGGGCGTCGGGGGCGCAGCTGCCGCCGGGGCCGTGGGAACCAGAGCTGAGAGACACAAGAACTGACCGGTTTCCTGTCAGAAAACTTCCAGTTACTTTAGAGAAGCACGTTGGGCCAACTTGTCCCAGTCTGCGTGGGCCACATTTCACTCGCCTAGTGACCTCCCTTCTACTTTAAAACAACGGGGAGTAATCTTGGGGGAAACGGTCGGTTGGTAAAACGAAGAGCAACAAACGCCACGCTGCTCTGCTCTGAGCCAAATGAATTAAAGTACTGATTGTGGAGAATTTTTAAAGGGCTACCAACAGAAGGAACTCGGGTTTTTCGAGTGACAGCTTTTCCCCCGTCTGTACACTAAGATTTAAGTCACGAGAGTTTTTTACAGCAGTACATTCGCTTGTAAGCTTACTTGAGTTTGTGATTTTTAAAAACCTCATGAACTTTTCAAAAGAGAGGCGTTTGTTTCTGAATCCAACAGGAAAAACACGAATTCGAAAGAGCCTGAAAAAGTTCAATTAGAATAGCAGCCACATTTCAACATTTCCCAGATTTTGCAATATTAAACTGTGAGGGTTTGTGCCAAATGTTAAGGCAAGAATTCTTACTGCCAAATTACAAATTTCTCAAAATGAGGGGTGATCAACCAAATTGCTGCCAGACCCCATAAACAGGCACTAACAGCACTGCTATAATTACACCTTATTATCTCCCTCGCAGCCTTATTTGATTCACTGCCGGATAAAATTTTCATCCCGGGTGTCACTAGCTGGCCTTTTTCTGGGGCTGAACAATCGCACACCTCCCATGCCTCAGTTCGTTCAAGGAACCCAATAACCCGTCGCCCTCTATTCTATTCTCTAGTACATCTCTTCCTCAAATGCAACTCCAATCAGATAGGATATTTTCACCCAACGTCCCTTGGGACTGAAAAATGAAAACAAACTTATCAGAATCACAGGAAAATTTCTTCTTTGAAGAAAAAGATTTAGGCCAAGAAACCAAATTTGTTGTTTAACTTGAGCCCCCTAAGGGGATTTAGCATAGTGGGCTGAATGCGGTTAAACCAGCTTAATCACTTTCTTTGTTCTGGGCTCTTTGCATTTATTTAATGTGTTTTAACACGATTTAACACAATCTAAGCTAATTTCTTCAGTGTTAGTGTAGCATCTATATTGTAGACCATACAACACAACCAAACGTAAGTTTCTGTGGAACCCATGACATTTTGTAGACTTCTGTACTAAACTGCTATATGACCAAGACTTTAAAAGTGGGTTTTATTCGGGGGCGGGGTGGGGGGGCGGGGAGTGGAAGGAGGTCATGTTTTCATGTTTTTTTTTAATCCAAATATTTAAAAAGCACAAAATATTGTCCACGTAGACCACTTAATTCTTCTGTTAGATCAGCTAGGAGCCACAATTACACATTTTTGTCTGAAAAAAAAATTTTTTTTTTTGCAACAGGAAGAAAAGGAAGAGATCATGCTGGATCTCATCTGATAGATTATGATTCTTCTGGCATTTACGCTCCCTCTTAAATAACAGTTCTACCCTGCTCTTAACCAGCCCAAGATTGAGGGGCATTCATTCACAAATGACTCTTGAGCCTCTTTCTGAATGTCTACTTCCTTATAAAGCCAAAACCTCAATACCAACGCTTCAGTAATCCAGGCTTGTAAAGATGCAGGCAGAAAACCCAAGTGCCTGGAAGAAATAATTTTTCTGTTCTACCTTTAACTTATCTTACAAACATGCAGGAATAATAATAGCTGTGAGCCAGACACTGTTTGTTCTAAGCCCTTTATAAGAATTAACTCCTCAAATCGCTTGAGCCCAGGAGTTCGAGACTAGCCTGGGCAACACAGTGAGACCTTGTCTCTATTAAAAATAAGAAGTTACCCAGGTGTGGTGGTGCATGCCTGTGGTCCCAGCTTACTCAGGAGGTTGAGGCAGGAGAATTGCTTGAGCCCGAAAGGTCGAAGCTGCAGTGAGCCAGGTTGGGGCCACTGCATTCCAGCCTGGGTGACAAAGGAAGACCCTGTCTCAAAAAAATAAAATTAGGCTGAGTGTGGTGGCTCATGCCTGTAATCCCAGCACTTTGGGAGGCCGAGGCAGGTGGATCACCTGATGTCAGGAGTTCGAGACCAGCCTGGTCAACATGGTGAAACCCCGTCTCTACTAAAAATACAAAAGTTAGCTGGGCACGGTGGTGCGTGCCTATAGTCCCAGGTACTCGGGAAACTGAGGCAGGAGAATCACTTGAACCCAGGAGGTGGAGGTTGCAGTGAGCCGAGATCGTGCCACTGCACTCCAGCCTGGGCGACAGAGTGAGACTGACTCAAAAAAAAATTAAATTAAAAATTATTTTAATTAGCCCAAACAGGGCTAAGAAGTGAGTACAACTGAATTGTTGCCACTATTTTACAGATAGTACATGGAGACACAGAGCAGTAAGCTGGCCCAACAACACCTAGCCTGGAAGGAACAGAGCTAGGATTTGAACCCAGACTGTTTCCATTATGTTTTCCACATCACCCAAGCTGTTTATAAGTTTAAATGTCCATAGAGTGAAGAGTATCATTAATTTACCACCTTTTGCATTCATAATATCTCCTATATGAGTAAGTCCTGGGCCATATTTTTTTCCTTTGGAACTCTGATAAAGTGAAATATGTGGAGATCTACTTAGGAAAAGCATTCCCAAATCAGATTACTTTCTTGGAAGCTAGCCTCAGACTGTCAGGATATGCATTGTAAGTGCTAAGCAGGACAAACACACCCAGCCTCACTGGTTAATAATGTTTCAAGCTGGGCACAGTGGCTCACGCCTATAATCCCAGCACTTTGGAAGGCTGAGGCTCAGAGGTCGCTTGAAGCCAGGAGTTCGAGACCAGCCTGGCCAACATGGTGAAACCCTGTCTCTACTAAAAATACAAAAATTAGCCAGGCATGGTGTCATGTACCTGTAGTCCCAGCTACTTGGGAGGCTGAGGCATGAGAATTGCTTGAGTCTGGGAGGCAGAGGTTGCAGGGAGCCGAGATGGTGCCACTGCACTCCAGCCTGGGTGACAGAGTGAGACTGTCTCAAACAAGACAAAAATGTTTCAGAACACGTCTACCTTACATTATAAAAAAGCAAGACAGTTTTTCTGACTTGGATTCTCTGATGTTGGAAAGGTAGAAACCAGGAGGTAAAGTGGGATGAGAGAAGGCGATGGAAGGAAACTGAGAGAAAATAAGTGTAACATATGTGCACATGGAGAAATCAGTACCACATGCAAAGAATGAGGATCAAGGTCATGCAGAATAGAAGTGTGTGGGTGTGTTATGACAGAACTAGAAGAGGAGCATAAACATGAAAATCAAGTACATGGCAAGGGGAGGTGGTGGGGAGTCAGGTTGGTGGTTTTCTTCAAATAAGTGATGGTATTAGAAGATGAGACCAAAAGAAAAAAATTAATTCAAATTTTAGCCTGTATTAATAGAAATATAGCATCTGGAACATGGAAAGAGCCTCAATTTATTCTGTATTAGACCACACGTAAGCAATATGTTCTCTTTTAGAAGGATGTAATAGAACAACCAACCAAGATGGTGAGGGAACTTCTTCACAAACCCTGGCTTATGAAGAAGAGTTGAGAATTCATGAGTGATCAAAGACCATCTTGAAACACCTGATGGACTATTATGTACAAAGAAATTAGACTTGTCCTGGGAGGCCCCAAGGCTCCGGAACTAAGAGATAGGAACTTCAGAAACATATGTTTTAGCTCAGAATATGGAAGAAGTCATGTGAATATGAAATAGGCTGCCTTGGAATGTAACAAGCTGCACATCACTCAGTGGAGGCAAAGTGTGAATTGTCACTGTCCTATATAATGTTTAAGGTGCCTTTCATCCTTATTCTGTGCTTCACTTGGACACTGTAAAGAGGGGGAAAATAACATAACCTACCTCATTAGGTTGTTGGAAAGCACCTAGCACTCTCCAAAAGTCAGCTGATAACATTCTTGAAGTTCTAAGGTTCAATATTTCTGAATTTATCAGTGGGTAATTATCCTGTGTTTATAGATCACTTCTCTGACATTATCAATATTATCCTGAATGGTGGCTTTGGTATCACTCAGCATCCTTGGGATATTCTTGTGTACCTAAAACTTACTTAGTAGTGTCCAGGGAGCAATATTGTGACTTCTACACCACTAGAATCTTAAAAATTGAATTGTGGCCAGGCACAGCAGCTCATGCCTATAATCCCAGTACTTTGGGAGGCCGAGGTGGGCGGATCAGTTGAGCCCAGGAGTTCAGGACAAGCCTGGCCAACATGACAAAACCCCATCTCTACTAAAAATACAAAAAAAAATAGCCGGGTTTGGTGGTGGGCGCCTGTAGTCCCAGCTACTCGGGAGGCTGAGGCATGAGAATCGCTTGAACCTGGGAGGTGGAGATTGCAGTGAGTGGAGATCAAGCAAGACTCTGTCTCAAAAAAAAAAAATCGAATTGTAACACCACACTGCAATTCTAGAGGCCAACAACATGTTAAAATAATGTGGGCAGGGCACAGTGGCTCACACCTGTAATCCCAGCACTTTGGGAGGCCAAGGCGGGCAGATCACGAGGTCAGAAGTTTGAGACCAGCCTGGCCAACATGGTTAAACCCTGTCTCTACTAAAAATACAAAAATTAGCCGGGCATGGTGGCGTGTGCCTGTAGTCCCTGCTACTTGGGAGGCTGAGGGAGGAGAATTGCTTGAACCCAGGAGGCGGAGGTTGCAGTGAGCCGAGATTGCACCACTGCACTCCAGCTTGGGCGACAGAGTGAGACTTTGTCTCAAAAAAAAAAAAAAAAAAAGAAGATAATGAAAAAAGATAATGTGAACTGGCCAAGAATCGCTTGAACCCAGGAGGCGGAGGTTGCAGTGAGCCAAGATTGTGCCACCACACTCCAGCCTGGGCAACAGAGTGAGACTCTCTCTTTCTCAAAAAAAAAAAAATAATAATATTAAATAATCAGGTAATGTGAAGTGAGTGGCTATAGGAAGGGTGAGGAAAATAATCAAATCTGGCAGACTAAGAGAACTCAAGCAGTGCAGCTTTGCGTGGATGGTTGAAAAGCAGTAGCAACTGAGATCAGCCTTATACTTCACATACAAAAATCAGATGAGATGACTCATCTTGAGCAAAAAGTGTCATGAAGCCCATGAAACCAACTAGAAAAGCTGGGTACTGGGAGACAAAGACAAGCCAACCAGTGAGCTGGTTACCTGTTCACCCTGGGAAACTGGTTCTCTAAAAATTGTTATTTTATGGAAAATAAGGCTGACCTCAGCAGCATCTTTAGACAAAAATAAGACACCCATGACTGTTAAAAGAAACAATGAAGTTGTCTTAACAATCAGAACCAAATTCTTGGTTCCTCCAATCCAAAAGGGAAAATTGAGAGGAGGCAGTATGGCTCTGTAGTCAGACAAACCTGAGACTAGAATCCCACCTCTGCCTCTGCTAAGTGACTAGAGCAAGTAGCTTTACCACTCCAAGCCTCAGTTTTGTCATCTGTAAATGGGAATAATAACACAAAGCATGTTGCAAGGATTATTTGATACTTTAAATGTAAAGCATACTTAGTACAGTTCCTGACATGTAGAGCCCAATGTTATCAAAATAAAGTTTTATTGGGGGGAAAGGGGAAGAAAATGTGACCATATTAGTGTTTGTGATATAGACTCTGCTATATAGAGATAGTGACATTATACAAAGGAAATGGAGAGCCATGATCTCCTATCTTAGGTGATCACTAAAGGGCCTAACTAAAGCTTAGAATTTCCATAGCTTGTGGGAGAAAGCCAGCTGAAATAGAATTGCAAGTGTCCTTGCTCCAAATGCAAGGTAAATGATTTCCCTTCTTTCTCCTTTGGTTCTGTTTTTCTCTTCATGCTTTAATCATTTTGACACCAAGCTGTACAAAAGTAATTTGAAATTAACATGTCTGACACTTGGTAGCTAGCAGAACCTGATTCTGAACCCTGCCCCCTCTCCAGGGCAGCCAGAAGTCATCTTTCATTGGTTACTGGTCCTGCAGCAGCTGATGAAGGGCCCAGGAAAATACATCCAACAATTAATTTGCTAATTTAGTTTTCTGTTTAATCTGAAACCAGAAAATCTTCTATCACCCAGAAGCTTGGCTTTCTGGCTTGAACATTGACTTCTGAAACTTCTTGTTTAGTGAGCAAAGAAATAGAAGAGAAAGGGAAAAAGCCTAACTACTTAGGTACATATCGTTACCCCTGTGCCCGTCTATTTTCAAAATGTTTTTCTGTAGGATCATAGAGTTCACAATTTCTTTTTCTTCTTCTTCTTCTTCTTTTTTTTTTTTTTTTTTTTTTTTTTGGTTAGAGACAGGGTGTATGTTTCTCAGGCTGGAGTGCGGTGGTGCAGTCACAATTCACTGCAGCCTCAATCTCCCAGGCTCAGACAATCCTCACACCTCAGCTCCTTGAGTAGCTGGGACCACAGGTGCGCACCACAATGCCGGGCTAATTTAAAAATTATTTGTAGAGTGGGTGCGGTGGCTCATGCCTGTAATCCCAGCACTTTGGGAGGCCGAGGCAGGCGGATCACCTGAGGTCGGGAGTTCGAGACCAGCCTGACCAACATGGAGAAACCTTGTCTCTACTAAAAATACAAAATTAGCCAGGCGTGGTGGCGCATGCCTGTAATCCCAGCTACTCGGGAGGCTGAGGCAGGAGAATCACTTGAACCCGGGAGGCGGAGGTTGCGATGAGCTGAGATCACGTCATTGCACTCCAGCCTGGGCAACAAGGGCAAAACTGTCTCAAAAATAATAATAATAATAAATTAAATTAAATTATTTGTAGAGTTGGGGTGTCCCTATGTTGCCTAGGCTGGTCTTGATCATCCTGCCTTGGCCTCCCAAAGTGCTGAGAAGCCACTGTGCCCAGCCTTTTTTTGTTGTTGTTGTTGGGGGTGGGGCTGGGGGGCGTGAGGTACAGGGTCTTGCTCTATTGCCCAAGCTGGTCTCAAAGACTTGGCCTCAACTGATCCTCCTGCCTTGGTCTCCCAAAGTGCTGGGATTACAGGGGTGAGGTACTGTGCCCAGCCCCACGAGTTATTTTACCAGGAGAATTGGAAGCAATACCTTCATATTCAGTGTAGGTAAGTGCTTTGTGAGCTATGGAGAATTTCCAGACCAATATATGTTTAAGATTTAGAAAACTACTTTAGGGTTTCGAACAGACCCAGATGAGTTTCTAACATTTGAAGTAAGTATTGCTCTAAGTTGTAAAGCAGCTTTCAGCTTCCCTGGAAACTTTCCACTGATTTCAATAGGAAGAGGCAAAGGAAATTTGTATCAGAGATTGAAGAGATTTGTATTTGACTCTTGGCCCAGAAGACAGACAACAGGTATGCTATGACAGGTTCCTCTGGTAAGTTTTCCCTTACTGCCTTACTGGAGAGTAGTTCAATTAACAGGAAAAAGGGGCAGGCTTAACTTTTTTTTTTTTTTTTTAAAGAGATGGGATCTCGCACTGTCACTCTGTCACCCAGGCTGGAGTGCAGTGTCACAATCTCAGCCCACTGCAGCCTTCGCCTCCCGGGTTCAAGTGATTCTCCTGCCTCAGCTTCCCAAGTAGCTGGGACTACAGGCGTGTGCTACTACACCCAGCTAATTTTTGTACTTTTAGTAGAGATGGGGTTTCACTATATGTTGGCCAGGCTGGTCTTGAACTCCTGACCTCAGGTGATCCGTCCTCCTCAGCCTCCCAAAGCACTGGGATTACAGGTGTGGTGTGAGCCACCGTGCTTGGCCCGCTTAACTCTCTTTCTTTCTTTTTTTTTTTTTTTTTTGAGATGGAGTCTCATTCTGTCACCCAGGCTGGAGTGCAAGTGGCACGATCTTGGTTCACTGCAACCTCCACCTCCCAAGTTCAAGCGATTCTCCTGCCTCAGCCTCCTGAGTAGCTGGGATTACAGGCATGCACCACCACACCCGGCTAATATTTGTACTTTTAGTAGAGATGGGTTTTCGCCATGTTGACCAGGCTGGTCTCCAACTCCTGACCTCGAGCGATCCACCCACCTTGGCCTCCCAAAGTGCTGGGATTATAGGCATGAGCCACCGCGCCCGGCCAGCCCGCTTAACTCTTAAGTATGTACCAAAACCCATGCCCTTTCTATTACTCAGAATGTATTTTACTCAGTTGGTGATTTGATTTTACTTCCTATTTTCCCATCTCAGTCACGTTAGACTTTTTTGCCTGACTTCTAAGACCTTGTGTATTCTGTCCCAACCCTACTTATCAATCACTATTTCTAACTCTTCATCAAAGTGTCTATTCTAATTTGGCCAAACTCACCGTTCTGAGAACGTGCCCCTATGTTCCTGCCTCCGAACCTTTGTTCATTTCCCTACTGATTTTCCTCCACATGCTTCTCTCTCCTTTATTCAAATCCTATCTGAACCTTGAGGCCCACCAGGGTCTTATTTCCTCAACTCAGTCTTCCCCACTACTAATTTCTCCCTTCCTGTACATCGATAGCATTATGTAGTGTTCCAAATTGTTGACCACTCTAGTGAAAATCATGTTCAGTTATTTCATATCTCAGGTCTAACTTTACAAATAAACTATATTTTATATACCTTTATAAAATATATAAAGGTATTTCTTGGGTATCCCTTACAGGGATTCCTCACTGGCCATTCATGATAATCACTGGATGCTTATTTAAAAAATAGATGATCAGGTTGTATCCTCCCAGAGATTTTGTTTTGTTAGAACTAAGATGGGCTAAGGAATCTGTATTTTTTGCATACATTCAGGTACCTAACTAATCCCCTGATAGGAGTTGGAGAATCACTGCTCATAGCACTTGCCATAGAAGACACTCAACTTGAGTATAAACATTTGGGTGTTAATTACATATACAGTATATACTTATTTATACTACATGGTGACCTCATAGGTGGGCACTCTACAACCAAGTCTACACTTTAGGGCACAAGTTGGAAGGCAGATAATCTGGTTCACTCTCCGTGGCACCGGTTTGGTATGTTTGAAAACAGAATCTCCTTTAGGTCTGTGATCTCTTGGTAATTACGTTTGCAGAGTAGAACAGGTTGATAGAATTGTAGCTGATTAAAAACAGTTTCCTATTCTCAATCAATTGCAGTCTGTAGCATTTGTTTGTGGAGTGATATTTAGGGGGAAGGAGACTGATGTGGGAAAAAGCTGGTCAAATTCTGCCCCAGGCATTACAAAATTAGTAAAATGAATCTTCCTGCCCACTCCTCACCTCATATCCTAAATCCAGCTCAAGTGTTAAACGAAGAAGGATTAAGCTGTGATTCCCCTCCTGGGGTACTTGTGTTTTAGAGGGAATCCTCTGAAAGTGAGAAGAGAGGATTATCTTAATGACCCCCAATCTTACTTGACAGGCAGACTGCCCAGAGCCCGAGATTTGGGAGAGCATTCTCTTACAAGATGACCCCCTGGACACCACTCTGCTTCTTCCTATAGTTTACAATTCTAAGTAGAATAAACAGTGACTAAAAAAGTTTCCATTATTCTCAGAGCTGAGCAATTTAGATGTGGACATGCTGGTCTGCTATGGGTATTGTTAGAAGAAACATTTGGGTTGCAAAGTCCCATCACTGTTTTGCTGAAATGCCATATTGTGGATTTTCCATATTCTCACACTATTAGATTCAAAGAGAAAACTCATGAGTGTTCTTTATATTCGTTCAGCAAATATTGAGTGCCTATTATGTCTCAAGTATTGTCCTATATGCTAGGGATAAAACAGTGAACAAAATTCATGGAGGTTACATTATGGGAGAGACAGCAAAGGGGTGATGAGAGAGATATATAAACAAAATAATGATATATGTTAAATGATAAGTGCTGTGGAGGAAAAATAAGCAGAGAATGGAAATGAGTGTTGGGGGAGGGTTTAAATTTTAAATTGAATGGGCAGGGAAGATCTCACTGAGAAGGTGACACTACAGTAAAGAAGAGGGTGAGGAAGCAAACAAGCTATGCACATATCTGGGAAAACAAAGTTCCTAACTGGTTTAATACTTCTCAGATCCTAGGTTAAGACCTTTAATTTGTTAATTTGAACCTAATTCTAGCACCATTGCTAAATGCATAATTTTCCCTTTGAAAGCTACTCAGTCATCAAAAATATAAAGTCCCATGAGTCTTGGTTGAAAATTTCATATCAAAAAGTAAATTTTGGCCAGGCACAGTGGCTCACACCTGTAATCCCAGCACTTTGGGAGGCCGAGGCGGGCAGATCACCTGAGGTCAGGAGGTCGAGACAAGCCTGGCCAACATGGTGAGACCTCGACTCTACTAAAAATACAAAAAATAATAATAATAAATTTTCTTTTTTTCAAGATGGAATCTCACTCTGTAGCCCAAGCTGCGTGCAGTGGCGCGATCTTGGCTCACCACAACCTCCACTTCTGAGGCTCAAGAGATTCTCGCGCCTCAACCTCCCAACTAGCTGGGACTACAGGCATGTGCCACCATGCCCAGCTAATTTTCTTGTATTTTAGTAGAGACGGGATTTCGCCATGTTGCCCAGGGTGGTCTTGAACCTCCGAGCTCAGGCGATCCACCTGCTTTGGCCTCCCAAAGTGCTGGGATTACAGGCGTGAGCCACCATGCCCGGCCAGTTTTGTGGGTATTTTTTAAGTAAAAAAAAAAAAAAAAAAAAAAAATACCAGGCCAGGCACTTGTGGCTCACACCTCTAATTCCAGCACTTTGGGAGGCTGAGGCAGGACAATCACTTGAGCCCAGGAGTTCAAGACCAGCTTGGAAAACATAGTTAAACCCTGTCTCTACAAAAAAATAAAAATAAAAATTAGCCAGGTGTGGTGGCATGTGCCTGTAATCCCAGCTACTCAGGAGGCTGAGGTGGGAGGATCCCTTGAGCCTAGGAAGTTGAGGCTGCAGTGAGCTGTGATCACAACACTGTACTCCAGCCTGGGAATGAAAAAAATAAACAAACCAACAAAAGAATACCAATAAGAGCCTTATATGTCGCTCAGCATTTCAGCAAATATTTATTGATAATCTACTATGAGCCAAGTATTGTATTAGGCATTGGATATACACATGGTGGTCCCTGCCTTCATAGAATTTACAGTCTAGAGGAAGAGACAGACAGTAAACAGGTAAACAGAATTATAAATTGTGATGAACTTTTCTGAATGAAAAGAACAAAGCCTGAAAGAGAGAATAATGGTATGAACCTCCTTCAAGATTGATGGTCAGGAAACGCCACTCTGAGGAAGTAAAATTTCTGGCAGGATGAGAAGGCACCAGGGTGAGGGTCATTCCAGGCAGAGAGAAGAGAGTATGTGTAATTTTCTGTTTGTTTGTTTGTTTTTGAGACGCAGTCTCACTCGGTCGCCCAGGCTGGAGTGCAGTGGTGTGATCTCAGCTCACTACAACCTCCACCTCCTGGGTTCAAGCAATTCTCCTGCCTCAGCCTCCCGAGTAGCTGGGATTACAGGCGCATCCACCCGGCTAATTTTTGTATTTTTAGTAGAAACGGAGTTTCACCATGTTGGCCACGCTGGTCTCGAACTCTTGACCTCTGGTGATCCACCCGCCTTGGCCTCCCAAGTGCTGGGATTACAGGTGTGAGCCACAGTGCCTAGCCAGTGATAGTTCTTAAGATGGAAAGTTACGGCTAGGCATGGTGCCTCACGCCTGTAATGCCAGCACTTTGGGAGGCTGAGGAGGGTAGATCACCTGAGGTTAGGAGTTCGAGACCAGGCTGACCAACATGGTGAAACCCTGTCTCTATTAAAAATGCAAAAATTAGCCGGGCATGGTGGCACACACCTGTAATCCCAGCTACTCGGGAGGCTGAGGCAGGAAAATCCCCTGGACCTGGGAGGCAGAGGTTGCAGTGAGCCGAGATCGCACCATTATACTCCAGCCTGGACAACAAGAGCGAAACTCCCTCTTGAAAATAAAAAAAAAAAAAGATGGAAAGTTATCAAATTCTGGCCGGGTGCAGTGGCTCATGCCTGTAATCCCAGCACTTTGTGGGGCCAAGGTGGGAGGATTACTTGAGCCCAGGAATTCAAATGGGCAACATAAGGAGACCCCCCAGTGTCTACAAATATATATATATATATATATATATTTTTTTTTTTTTTTTTTTTTTTTTTTGAGAGGGGTCTTGCTCTGTCTCTCAGACTGGACTTCTGTGGCATGATCTCGGCTCACTGCAGCCTCTGCCTCTTGGGTTCAAGCGATTCTCCCGCCTTAGCCCCAGAGTAGCTGGAACTATTGGCGCGAGCTGCCACACCTGGCTAATTTTTTGTATTTTAAGTAGAGACGGGGTTTCACTATGTTGGCCAGGCTGGTCTCAAACTCCTGGCCTCAAGTGATCTGCTTTCCTCGTCCTCCCGAAGTGCTGGGATTACAGGCATGAACCACTGTGCCCAGCCTACAATTTTTTTTTTTTAATTAGTTGAGTGTGGTGGCATGTGCCTATAGTCCCGGCAATTCAGGAGGCTGAAGTGGGAGGATCACTTGAACCTGGGAGGTCAAGGCTGCAGTGAGCTGTGACATGATCTCTGATCTCACTTCTGCACTTCAGCCTCGGTGATGGAGCAAGACCCTGTCAAAAAAAAAAAAAAAAAAAAAGAAAGAAAGAAAGAAAGAAAGAGAGGAGAGGGGAGGGGAGGGCAGGGGTTGGGTTACCAGGTTCTATTTGTTACCAGACGAACACAAAAAGAAGCTCAATGTAGCTGACAGGTTGGAGAGGTAGGTGAGGCCAGTCCATACAGGGCTTTCTTGGACCTCAAAGGAGTTTGTATTTTATTCTAAATACAGTGAGAAGCCATTAGAGAATGGTAAGTTAACAAAGAGAGAATTGAGAAGATCCTAGAGCCACAATATTTCAAAAGGTTTCTTACTGATGAAGAAACTGATGCTCAGAGAGGTTCGGTGACTTGCCCAAGATTACACAATCCATAAACCGTGGAATTGAGATTTAGTCTCTCACAGCCTCTGATTCAAGGACTCTGTTCTTTCCACTATTATCTAATACTTGCTTGGGCCAAAAGCTTCACAATATTCTTGACTCCTCTCTATTTCTCTTATATTCCTCATCATATCCATCAGCAAATCCTGGCACCTCTACGTCCAAAATATGACCACTTGTCACCACCTGCACTGCTATCACCCTGACCCAAGCCACCATTATTTCTTGCTTTGATTCCTGCAATTGCCTCCTAACTGGTCTCCCTGCTTCAGCTCTTCCACTCCTACCTTCTATTTTCTACACAGCAGCCATAATAATCCTTTAAAAACATAAATCATATTTACAACTATTATGTACCCATAAATTTTTTTAGAGGCTGAGTGTGGTGGCCTGTGCCTGTAACCCCAGTGTTTTGGGAGGCCAAGACAGGAGGATCACCTGAGGCCAGGAGTTTGAGACCAGCCTGGGCAACATAGTGAAACCCGATCTCTTCAAAAAAATTTTAAAATTAGCTGGCATAGTGGTTCACACCTGTAGTCCTAACTACTTAGGAGACTGAGGCAGGAGGATCACTTGAGCCCAGGAGTTCAAGGCTGCAGTGAGCTATGACTGCGCCACTACACTCCAGCCTGGGTGACCCCGTTGTAAAAAAATTAAATAATTTTATGTCATATCATAAAACATAAGTCTTTCCCCTACTAAAAACCCTCCAGTGGCTTCTCATCTCACTCAGAATAAAAAACAGAGAGGTCGAGCACAGTGGCTCACACCTGTAATCCCAGCACTTTGGGAGGCAAAGGCGGGCAGATCACTTGAGCCCAGGAGTTCAAGACCAGCCTGGCCAACATGGTGAAACCCTGTCTCTACTAAAAATATAAAAGTTAGCTGAGTGTGGTGGTGCACACCTGTAATCCCAGCTACTTGGGAGGCTGAGGCAGGAGAATCGCTTGAACCTGGGAGGCGGAGGTTGCAATGAGCCAAGACTGTGCCACTGCACTTCAGCCAGCCTGGGCAAAAGAGCGAGAGTCTGTCTAAAACAAAACAAAACAAAATAAACAAAGACCCCACAATGATTTACAAGGCCTTACAAGTCTGTCCCCTCCACTCCCACTTTCCTGACCTCTCTTACATCTTTCCCTTGGCTTATTCTATTTAGCTACAATTGGTCTCCTTCAACAAGGAAACTCCTGTGTCAGGACCTGTGCATTTGCTGTGCCCTCTGCCTGGCAAGCTCCTCCCCCTCATATTTATATGGCTTGTTCTCCCTCTTCTTTTATGTCTCAGCTCAAATCACCTCATCAGTGAGTTCTTTCTGTCTACCCTTTGTAAACTAAAAAAACTCTGTCCAGCCGGGCGCGGTGGCTCACACCTGTAATCCCAACACTTTGGGAGGCCGAGGCGGGCAGATCACAAGGTCAGGAGATCGAGACCATCCTGGACAACATGGTGAAACCCCATCTGTACTAAAAATACAAAAAATTAGCTGGGCATGGTGGCGCGTGCCTGTAATCCCAGCTACTCAGGAGGCTGAGGCAGGAGAATTGCTTGAACCAGGGAGTCGGAGGTTGCATTGAGCTGAGATCACACCATTGCCCTCCAGCCTGGCAAGAGAGTGAGACTCCATCTCAAAAAAAAAAAAAAAAAAAAGACTCTGCTCAAACCATAATTTCTATCTCCCTTAACACTGCTTTATGATTCTCAATACCCTCATTATCATTTAATACACTATAGGTCTACTTACTTATTATTTTGATCCTTCCCATTAGAATGTAAGTTGCATGAGAATAAGAACTTTATTTTATTTTCTGTTCTTAGAACACTGTTTTCAGCTCTGATAACACTGCCTGGCACATAGTAGGTGAATAGAGGCAGTTGACTAAAGAATAGGACCGATGTTTTCAATGACTGAATTAACAGAAAGACAAAGTCATTCTTCTGAGGATGGGAAAGCATGTTGTAAACTAGGAAATGATATAAAAAGTTTATTTCTTCCAGTTGGTTCTTGATTTCTAAGTCTTATGATCCTCTTTGAAAACCTTTACTAAATAGAGTAGACTCAAATGATCTTGGATGCAATGCTGACTCTTGGTAGGCCACCAAATACATAACTGGGTGTCAGGAAATGCGGTCTTGCCATCTTTCTCAGGCTCACTGCCATAGCTAGCAAGGACCTCTTGCTCCTTTCTTAGGTATCCTTGCATGCCTTTGGCTTTTCAGAATTTTTTATTCTGGGGAATGGGAGTGATGGTTGATGCCCTGTCTGTAGTTGAGATTCTGTACAGGGAAAGTCATTCAGTTAAATCAAGCAGTATTGAATTCCTAATTGACACAAATGAGACAGACAGACAGCTGGAGGAGTGGGGGAGGGACAGAGAGCAGGTGCCCTGAATAATGGACAAAGAAGAGAGGCAGAATATAAATTGAAGCTAATGGTGAAGAAGCTCACTGTGAGTCTAGATTTTGTGCCACAAGAAAAGTAAACTTTGCCACAGCTTACTTTACGTAGAGCGGAAAGGATCCAGTGGTGTTTTTGCCAAGGATAAGGCAACAAGTTCCAAATGCTTGTGCCATTTTGGCTGCCCTGATGGCCAAGTTTGCCTCTTTTCAGGTACCATCATTTGTGAGAATCACTCTTAGTAAAGTCCTCATTCTGTGTTTTTTTCCAAAACAAACTTAATCACGTAGTGTTTGAACGAAAGAAACTGCTTTGAAAATTCTATTTGTCAAACAAAGGGATTCTTAACACGTAAGTTAGGAAGGTGAAGGGAAGGATGTTTCTAGATCTTCAAATGCCAGACATAGGGGGCATTCCTGCAGAGAAGGCATGTATCTTGTCAACTCCAGAATTTCCTCTGAGAATGCTGGGGGCTTTTTTCCTCTCAGTCCCCTCTTGATCAGAGCTTTGACTCCCCAGCTCAGACAGTTCTTTTCTGTAGCCATGGGAATTGCTCCCATAATTAGCAGTGTCTCCTGCCTGGAACTCAGACAAGTAAATGTTCAAACCTGGCAGCCGATCCTGGGAAGGAGAGCTGATTAAATCTTTCCTGTCGAGAGGCACCTTTTTGATTTGAATGTGACACCTACATCCCCCACCTCAGGTTTGTCTGGGGGAAGCAGTTTTGCCCATATCTTCATAACTGAAGATCCTGGTATTTTAAAGACACATTTAATCTTAAAAGGAGCCCATTGGTTTCCCAAGTTAAGTAACTTAGGAAAAAGCCTAGGCTTTTTTCCTCTCCTGGCCCCTTCTCCACTAAACACCACCCTGTGTTTGGTATGATGAAAGCTCCTGCTACACAGGTATCATCAAATGCCAGAGGCCTTGAGAAATAAAACGAGTTCAGAACACCACTAAGTACACATAAGTATTAACTACAAATGGAGGAGTGAAAGAGCAGGCAAACTATTTCTTTAGAAGTTTTAGTAAGACGGGCTGGAACCATCAAGCCCCAAAGTGAATACTCTTGGTGATATTCCGTTCCAGGAAAGCTTTCTACAGGCGGAGGTGTATTCTTATCTGGATGTAGCTGGATTATGTACTACCATTCAAACACTTTTGGGAGAGACAATATCCATTTTCCTACTGACATCAAGGCAGCCTTTTAAGTTTATCCAGATTTATTTTGGTTAGTGCAATAAAAAAGCAAGGTTGGAGAATTATGTTTAACAAAAATAAAGTCATTGTATGCTTAAAGTTTCCCACTGAAAGCTGCTTTTAAAGCAGTTTGCTGCTGCTCAGCTCCAGTCACCTCAGCAATACTTGCATTCAGTCAGATTGGCTGTGAACAAAGCAAATTTACTTCACACACAACAGCCCTAAACCTCCACTCTCAGGACAGAAGTCTTCCTTAGCAATGTTTTCTACATGGCTCTGGTTAAGGGCCATTCACTTACCTCTAACCTCTTTCTCCTGGGAGACAAAGGCACCTTTGGGCTGAAGTGACACAGGAGAGTTAGAATCAGATTTGTTATCGACATTGCAGCCTTCAGTTTCAGTAAGAGGCTAAATCTGTCTATTCCAACTACAGGAAGGCAATCTTTATAACCCCTGGAGCACTTGGCCAATTATGCACCTGCAAATATACCATACAGGACATTTCAGGTTCCTAGGCACTTTGAAAACCGATACTTAAACAGACTCAAGGGATGCTATCACCCACCTCGAATAATAGCTGCTTTGGAATCTGTTATTGGCACCAGAAAAAGAAAGAGTCCTCTGAAGTCATTCTAAAGCCATTTTTATTGTGCATTTTCAAACAAAGAACCTCACCAAAAGAACTTCTGTTACAAAATCAGGGTAGAAAGTCAAACTCATCTCATCTAAGAGTCAATTACCCTGGCAATTTTGTGAGGCGATGGGAAATGAGCGTTAGAGGAGAGGACTGTGGGGAGGAGGTGGGATTGGCTTTTAAAATCCCCTGGGTGAGAAGGGTGTTCCCACTGACTCTAAACCCTAACAATTGCAACAGAAGGGCCTCTGTGACTTTCTGGCTATAAACTTTTTATGATTATTAACTGAGGAAACCTAGAATATGTGGAATTTTAACAGTTGGCTTTCAACCTCCATTTGCTCCTTTCTCAGAAACTTGGTTTTGCACAGTGTAATAATCTAAGGCTCAGAATTTATGTTAGTTACCTTGCTGTTCCTTGATAAAAAGCTACCTTCTTACATATCTTACTTCCAATAAAGAGGCAGATTCCCTATGTACTGTTTATCTCGGGAAAGAAATACATGTGGGAAAAGAAGCAATTTTCTTCTCATTGCAATTAAATTAAATCATGACCACCTGTTGTGGGATTATCCTGCCATCTGCTGTTCAAAAGAGAAACAACAGCAGAGAACCAGAAAGAAGAGGCAAAATGTTGGAAAGCTTTGCTCCCAGATGTCCATCAGTTGATTACGGTTATTGGTATAGTTAAAATTTTCAGTGTTACACCTCTTTTAGAATTTATCTATCAGGTTTTCCAGTGTTCACTGAAATTTGTCTCTTAGACAAGTTCTAAAAGAGCTGTAACACTGAAGATGGTTCTCTTCTCTGGAAAAACTTCCCACGGGAAAAACAAAAATCTTCCTTTAAAAATTTTTTTAAAGGATCTCACTTTCTTTCTTTCTTTCTTTTCTTTTTTTTTTTTTTTTTTTGAGATGGAGTGTCGCTCTGTTGCCCCGGCTGGAGTGCAGTGGCGTGATCTTGGCTCACTGCAACCCCCACCTCCTGGGTTCCAGCGATTCTCCTGCCTCAGCCTCCAGAGTAGCTGGGATTACAGGCATGTGCCACCATGCCAGACTCATTTTCGTATTATTATTATTTATTAATAATAGCTATTGTTTTAGTAGAGACGGGATTTCACTATGTTGGCCAGGCTGGTCTTGAACTCATGACCTCGGGTGATCCACCCGCCTCGGCCTCCCAAAGTGCTGGGATTATAGGCATGAGCCACCAAGCCCGGCCTCACTTTCTATTTATTTAATTTTTTTGAGACAGGGTTTGCTCTGTTGCCCAAGTTGGAGTACAGTGGCATGATTATGGCTCACTGCAGCCTCTAACTCCTGGGCTCAATTGATCCTCCCACCTCAACCTCCCAAGTAGCTGGGACCACAGATGTGCGCCACCCCAACCAGCTAATTTTTGTTTTTATTTAAAAAATTTTGTTGAGACAGAGTCCACTCTGTTGTCCAAGCTGGAGTGCAGTGGTGTGATCATGGTTCACTGCAGCCTTGACCTCCCAGACTCAAGTGATCCTCCCACCTCAGCCTCCCAAATAGCTGGGACTACACCACTATGCTCAGCTAATTTTTGTATTTTTTGTAGAGATAGTGTCTCCCTATGTTGCCCAGGCTGGTCTCGATCTCCGGGGCTCAAGTGATCCTTCTGCCTCGGTCTCCCAAAGTGCTGGGATTACAGGTATGAACCACTGTGCCTGGGCTGATTTTTTTTAATTTTTAAATTATTATTATTATTTTTTTGAGACTTGCTCTGTTGCCCAGGCTGGAGTGCAATGATGCAATCTTGACTCACTGCAACCTCTGCCTCCCGGGTTCAAGCGATTCTCCTGCCTCAGCCTCCCGAGTAGCTGGGATTACAGGCACGCACCACCATACCCGGCTAATTTTTGTATTTTTAGTAGAGATGAGTTTTCACCATGTTGGCCAGGCTGGTCTTGAACTCCTGACCTCAGGTGATCCGCCTGCCTTGGCCTCCCAAAGTGCTAGGATTATAGGCGTGAGCCACTGCTCCCAGCCCTGATTTATTATTAATATTTTATTTTGTCTACAGGTTTTCCCCAATCTTTTTTGTTTGTTTGTTTGTTTTGTTTTGTTTGAGACAGAGTCCAGGCTGCAGTGCAGTGGCACGATCTCGGGTCACTGCAACCTCTGCCCCCCAGGTTCAAGTGATTCTCCTGTCTCAGTCTCCTGAGTAGCTGGGATTACAGGCACGTGCCACCACGCCCGGCTGATTTTTTTGTATTTTTAGTAGAGACGGGGTTTTGACATGTTGGCTAGGCTGGCCTCGAACTCCTAACCTCAGGTAATCCACCCACTTCTGTCTCCCACAGTGCTGGGATTACAGGCGTTAGCCACTGTGCCCGGCTGTTTCTCCCTAATCTTATCCATATCCCTGGTTTCTTCCTTGGGATTAATAGGGAAAATATGAAACTTTAATTTTCCCTCACTCTTGGCAAAATAATAATAAGATTTATAATCCTATTAAAAGGCATATTCTCCACTCAGTAATCTAAGTCATATGAGTGCGTCCCCTGGGCTTTTCATTGTCTACCACTCTAATTGTCTCCTATCTGGTCTTCCTTTCTCCAGGGCATTGTTCACACCACTGCCAGTCAGAGTAATCATTTTCCAATGCAAAATTGGTCAAGCCATTCCCCAGCTCAGAATCCTTCAATGGCTCTCACTTTCTTTCTTTCTTTTTTTTTTTTGAGTCTCGCTCTTGTCACCCAGGCTGGAGTGCAATGTGCAATGGCGCAATCCTCTGCCTCCCCGGTTCAAGTGATTCTCCTGCCTCAGCCTCCTGAGTAGCTGAGATTACAGGTGCCTGCCACCATGCCCAGCTAATTTTTGTATTTTTAGTAGAGATGGGGTTTCACCATGTTGGCCAGGCTGGTCTCGAATTAAAGTGCTGGGATTACAGCCATGAGCCACTGCACCTGGCCGGCTCTCACTTTCTTGTAGGATTAAGTTCAAGATCCTAGTCCTGACATTCAAGGCCTTTGGGTTGAATTTAAGTTCCCTGATTTATCAGGTTATTTTATACCTCTTTGATTTTGCTTGTGCTGTTTTCCTTGCCAGAAACACCCTTTCTGGCCATATATACCTGACAAACCATGCCCATCTTTTAGGTAGCTGGATGTCAGCTCTTCTGGAAATCTCTCTTGGTTTTCTGCCCCCTGATAGAACTGGTCATATCCTCTTTTGTGCCACTGGCTCCCCTTCCCCAACATACTTTAATGACATCACTTATCCCAAGGTCATATAATTTTCTATTTCCTTTTCTGTCTCCCTCACTAGAATAAAAAGCTCCTTAATAGGTTATGAGTTTCCTACTAGATTATGTATCTCAGCACCTAGAACTGTGCCTGGTTTATAGTAGATGTTTAGTAAATGTCTGTGGAATAAATCCTGTAGAATTTATCTAGCATTTTAACTTTTTTGTTGTTTGTTTGTTTAAATTTAATTAATTTACTTATTTTTGAGACAGAGTCTCACTCTGTCACCCAGGCTGGAGTGCAGTGGCACAATCATAGCTCACTACAGCCTTGACCTCACGGTCTCAGATAATTCTCCCACCTCAGCCTCCTGAGTAGCTAGAACTACAGGCACCCACCACCACACCCAGCTACTTTTTGTATTTTTGGTAGAGATGGGGTTTCGCCGTGTTGCCCAGGCTCTTCTGGAACCCTTGGGATCAAGCAATTTGCCCTCCTTGGCCTCCCAAAGTACTGGGATTACAGGCATGAGCCACCACGTCCAGCCTAGCATTTTAACTTTCAAAGGGCTTTCTCTGCACTGTTTCATTTTATCTTTTTTGATCCTGCGAGAAAGTAAGGGCAGGTATTAATTTACTGTGACCACTTTATGGATGAAGAAAGGGAAACAGCAGACAGCTGGTAAGTGGCAAAGCAAGAATTTGAGCCCAGTTTTTCTGAGAAGAGAAAACCACGACCCTGTATACTGTCGCTCTGCCCAGATCTTCTCAGATCTTCTACCAGTTCCTCCTGACCCTCCCTTGGCTTCTGTTTGTTTTTGCTCCCAGTAACCAGCTCCTGAGACGACACTTCAAAAGAGGAAGATCCTCAAGTTACTAGAATGGTTTTGTTCCTTACTTATTCCCTGGTCTCTAGCAAATGATTGATTAGATGCAGGAGTCTGAAAGACTGGCATTCTTGCCTCTGGGTAGAGTTTATACTCTTGAGCTCCTTCAGGGATTAATAGGGATTAAACTACTCTCTTGAGGACTTTGCCTGAAATCTCACCTTTGCGTGGCTTTTTGCTTTTTCCCTTCCCAGCTCAACTTCTCCTATGCCCTACTGACTTCTTGGAGCGTTTCCTTAAGACCCTGTCCCCCACCCCACCCCCGCCAAAAAAAAAAAGAGAAAAAAAAGGCTGGGCATGATGGCTCATGCCTGTAATCCCAGCACTTTGAAAGGCCAAGGTGAGGATCACTTGAGCCCAGAAGTTCAAGACCAACCAGAGCAACACAGTGAGATTTCATCTCTGCAAAAATTAAGAAAATTAGCTGGGCATGGTGGCACATGCCTGCAGTCCCGGCTACTCGGGAGGCTAAGGCAGGAGGATCAATTGACCTGGGAGTTAAGTCTGGCTGCAGAGTCATGATTGTGCTACTGCACTCCAGCCTGGGTGACAGAGTGAGACTGTCTCCCAAACAAACAAACAAACATCTCTTACTGAGAAATCCTGTTTCAGGGTCGGCTTCCAAGTTTCCCGAGGCATCCAACTAAGTGTGTCCTTAGCTCCTACTATATGTCAGAACTTGTCAGGTGCTTTTACAAAAGCTAGTTTATTTACACAAACTCTCTAAGAGTAAAGTACATATATTTAATTGTTTTTTGAGGGTAAGACTGTGTCAAAAAAAAAAAACCTTCATTAAAATAGTCTCTTTTTTTCTCCTACTATGAAATTACCTTTCATTAACTATAAATCATTCTAATGGCCATGTCTTCTTTGGCAAGTTTCCTCACCTCTAGACCCCAATATTTTTACCTTTAAAGTGAGGAAATAAGATAATAAGAATACCTATCATAATAGGATAGGTTAATGGAAAACAGAATAGCGCCAAACATGTTAACTTAATAAATGTTGGCCATTGTTATTATTTTAGTACTTCTACTGCTACTTGTAAACAGGTTATGCTCCAAAGGCTGTGAATCCTTTTGTTCATATGTGTGTTGTAGTGCTCAACCACAGAGACTCAGGATAGTCAAAACACTAACACTAAGTCATTTGTGTAAGTCCCAGATCTAACATACCAAGAAGGGGCTGGTTGCTCGGATATCAAATAGTTATTTCCAAGTGGGTAGATCAGAAATATAATTGAATTGTCCTCACAAGCCACAAGAGTAAATTTCTATTCCCTCTTGTGGTGACTCTGAGAATTACCATTACCGCTTTCATCAGAGACCTAATAGTACCAAATTTGCAAGGAGACCACTGAGAAACTACACTTAATTCAGAAGCTCCCAAGTTGGAGTTCCAAATCCCTACATGTCAGAGAAGGTGCTAATGAATATTTTCAAAATTTCAAAAAATAGAGCAAAAATCATTCAATTACTTATGAAAAAGAAGAAATATTTTCACACATATTAACTTTTTTTTTAATTTTTATTTTTTTTATTGATCATTCTTGGGTGTTTCTCGCAGAGGGGGATTTGGCAGGGTCATAGGACAATAGTGGAGGGAAGGTTGGCAGATAAACAAGTGAACAAAGGTCTCTGGTTTTCCTAGGCAGAGGACCCTGCAGCCTTCCGCAGTGTTTGTGTCCCTGGGTACTTGAGATTAGGGAGTGGTGATGATTCTTAACGAGCATGCTGCCTTCAAGCATCTGTTTAACAAAGCACATCTTGCACCGCCCTTAATCCATTTAACCCTGAGTGGACACAGCACATGTTTCAGAGAGCACAGGGTTGGGGGTAAGGTCACCGATCAACAGGATCCCAAGGCAGAAGAATTTATCTTAGTACAGAACAAAATGAAAAGTCTCCCATGTCTACTTCTTTCTACACAGACACGGCAACCATCCGATTTCTCAATGTTTTCCCCACCTTTCCCCCCTTTCTGTTCCACAAAACCGCCATTGTCATCATGGCCCGTTCTCAATGAGCTGTTGGGTACACCTCCCAGACGAGGTGGTGGCTGGGCAGAGGGGCTCCTCACTTCCTAGTAGGGGTGGCCGGGCAGAGGCGCCCCTCACCTCCCGGACGGGGCGGCTGGCCGGGCGGGGGGCTGACCCCCCCACCTCCCTCCCGGACGGGCTGGCTGGCCGGGCGGGGGCTGACCCCCCCACCTCCCTCCCGGACGGGGCGGCTGGCCGGGCGGGGTGTTGATCCCCCCACCTCCCTCCCGGACGGGGTGGCTGGCCCGGCAGAGGGGCTCCTCACTTCCCAGTAGGGGCGGCTGGGCAGAGGCGCCCCTCACCTCCCGGACGGGGCGGCTGGCTGGGCGGGGGGCTCACCCCACCTCCCTCCTGGACGGGGTGGCTGGCCGGGCGGGGGGCTGACCCCCCCACCTCCCTCCCGGACGGGGCGGCTGGCCGGGTGGGGGGCTGACTCCCCCACCTCCCTCCTGGACGGGGTGGCTGGCCAGGCAGAGGGGCTCCTCACTTCCCAGTAGGGGCGGCTGGGCAGAGGCGCCCCTCACCTCCCGGACAGGGTGGCTGGCCGGGCGGGGGGCTGACCGCCCCCACCTCCCTCCCGGACGGGGGGCTGACCCCCCCACCTCCCTCCCGGACGGGGCGGCTGGCCGGGCGGGGGGCTGACCCCCCCACCTCCCTCCCGGACGGGGCGGCTGCCGGGCGGAGACGCTCCTCACTTCCCAGACGGGGTGGCTGCCGGGCAGAGGGACTCCTCACTTCTCAGACGGGGCGGCTGCCGGGCGGAGGGGCTCCTCACTTCTCAGATGGGGCGGCTGGGCAGAGACGCTCCTCACCTCCCAGACGGGGTCGCGGCCGGGCAGAGGCGCTCCTCACATCCCAGACGGGGCGGCGGGGCAGAGGCGCTCCCCACATCTCAGACGATGGGCGGCCGGGCAGAGACGCTCCTCACTTCCCAGATGGGATGGCTGCCGGGAAGAGGCGCTCCTCACTTCCTAGATGGGATGGCGGCCGGTCAGAGACGCTCCTCACTTTCCAGACTGGGCAGCCAGGCAGAGGGGCTCCTCACATCCCAGACGATGGGCGGCCAGGCAGAGACGCTCCTCACTTCCCAGACGGGGTGGTGGCCGGGCAGAGGCTGCAATCTCGGCACTTTGGGAGGCCAAGGCAGGCGGCTGGGAGATGGAGGTTGTAGCGAGCTGAGATCACGCCACTGCACTCCAGCCTGGGCACCATTGAGCACTGAGTGAACCAGACTCCGTCTGCAATCCCGGCACCTCGGGAGGCCAAGGCTGGCGGATCACTCGCGGTTAGGAGCTGGAGACCAGCCCGGCCAACACAGCGAAACCCCGTCTCCACCAAAAAAGTACGAAAACCAGTCAGGCGTGGTGGCGCGTGCCTGCAATCGCAGGCACTCGGCAGGCTGAGGCAGGAGAATCAGGCAGGGAGGTTGCAGTGAGCCGAGATGGCAGCAGTACAGTCCAGCTTCGGCTCGGCATCAGAGGGAGACCGTGGAAAGAGAGGGAGAGGGAGACCGAGAGGGAGAGGGGAGAGGGGAGAGGGGAGAGGCAGAGGCAGAGGCAGAGGCAGGGGCAGGGGCAGGGGCAGGGGCAGGGGCAGGGGCAGGGGCAGGGCTGGTCTTAAAGGGAGAAGAGCCACATATTAACTCTTTTAATCCTAATAGCCCTTTGAGGTAGGTACCATATAATCATTCCCATTTTACAGATGGAGAAGTTGATTCCCAGAGACTTTGAATAACTTGCCCAAGGAAATGAATAAGGTTTGAACCCAGTCAGTCTGGCTTTAGGGCATGTATACTTAACTACCCAGCTGTATGTTTGCAGTAATATAAGCTTCATTTCCCCAGTGCTTTCTGTGTGCCAGTCCCCAAGCTAAGCTAACACCATACATCCTTACAACTAAGCTGCACTTTGGAGATGGAAAAGCTCAGACTCAAAGGGGCATGAGGGCCCGGGTGCGATGGCTCATGCCTGTAATCCCAGCACTTTGGAAGGCTGAGACAAGCAGATCACTTGAGGTCAGAAGTTCAAGACCAGCCTGCCCAACATAGTGAAATCCCATCTCTACTAAAAATATAAAAATAAGCCGGGCGTAGTGGCAGGTACCTGTAATCCCAGCTACTTAGAAGGCTGAGGCAGTAGGATCACTTCAGCCTGGGAGGCAGAGGTGTAGTAAGCCAAGATAGAGCTACTGCACTCCAGCATGAGTGACAGAGCAAGACTCAGTCTCAACAAAAAAACAAAACAAAACAAAAAACCGCAAAACAGGCTGGGCGCAGTGGCTCATGCCTGTAATTCCCAGCACTTTGGGAGGCTGAGGCGGGCGGATCACCTGAGGTTGGGAGTTTGAGACCAGCCTGATCAACATGGAGAAACCCTATCTCTACTAAAAATACAAAAATTAGCTGGGTGTGGTGGTGCATGCCTGTAATCCCAGCTACTCGGGAGGCTGAGGCAGGAGAATCGCTTGACCCTGGGAGGTGGAGGTTGCAGTGAGCTGAGATCACGCCATTGCACTCCAGCCTGGGCAACAAGAGCGAAACTCCGTCTCAGAAAACAAAACAAAACAAAAAAACCCAAAACAATCAAAGGAGCATGAGGAAGCTTTTGGGGATGATGGATACACTCATAATCTTTATTGTAAAGATAGTTTCACAGGTGTATGCAAATGTCAAAACTCATCAAATTGTACCCTTTGCAGTTTATTGTATGTCAATTCAATACAGCTGCTTAAAGAAACAACATTGATATATCACATTATACCATTAGATTGGCAAAAACTAGAAATCTGAGTAATGCTAAGTGTTAGCCAAAATGAGGTATATAGGGACCCTGATGGGAGTATAGATTAGTGCAGCCATTCTAGAAAGCAATCAGCCAGTACATAGTCAAATTAATTTTGACAATAGTTTCTGTGCCAATTATTCTGCTCCTAGGTTGATATTTAAAAAGAAGATAGCTGGTCCAAGTGCAGTGGTGTTTGCAACTAATTGATCACAACCAGTTACAGATTTCTTTGTTCCTTCTCTACTCCCACTGCTCCACTTGACTAGCCTTATTAAAAAAAAAAAAAAAAAAAAGAAGAGCCGGGCACGGTGGCTCACGCCTGTAATCCCAGCACTTTGAGAGGCCGAGGCAGGTGGATCACTTGAGGTTGGAAGTTCGAGACCAGCCTGGCCAACATGGGGAAACCCCTTCTCTACTAAAAATACAAAAAATTAGCCAGGCATAGTGGCACATGCTTGGAATCCCACCTACTGTGATGGCTGAGGCAGGAGAATCCCTTGAACCTGGGGGGCAGAGGTTGCAGTGAGCCAAGATCGCGCCATTGCACTCCAGCCTGGATGACGAGTGAAATGTCATCTCAAAAAAAAAAAAGAAGAAGAAGAATCTCATCATAATGAAACTGCACAAAATCAAGGGGGAGAGAGAAAATTTAAAAAAATAAAAGAGCCAGGTGCAGTGGCGCACCCTGTTGTCCCAGCTACATGGGAGGCTGAGGCAGGAGGATGGCTTGAGTCCAAGAGTTCTGGGCCATAGTGTGCTACGTCCATCAGGTGTCTGTTTGCACTAAATTCTGCATCAATATGGTGACCTCCTGGGAGCTGGGGGACCACCAGGTTGCCTAAGGAGAGGTGAACTAGCCCAGGTTGGGAACTGAGCAGGTCAAAACTCCTGTGCTGATCAGTAGTGGAATTGTGCCTGTGAATAGCCACTGCACTCCAGCCTGGACAATGTAGTAAGACCCTGTCTCCTAAAAAAAAAAAAAAAGAAAAGCAGGGGGCACGGGCATGATGGCCCATGCCTGTAATCCCAGCACTTTGGGAGGCCAAGGCAAGAGAATTGCTTACCTAATTGCTTACATGCCCTAAAGCCAGACTGCCTGGGTTCAAACCTTATTCATTTCCTTGGGCAAGTTATTCAAAGTCTCTGGGAATCAACTTCTCCATCTGTAAAATGGGAATGATTATATGGTACCTACCTCAAAGGGCTGTTAGGATTAAAAGAGTTAATATGTGTGAAAATATTTTTCTTCTTTTTCATAAGTAATTGAATGATTTTTGCTCCATTTTTTGAAATTTTGAAAATGTTCATTGCCTAGGAGTTCAAGACCAGCCTAAGCAATATGGGAGACCCCATCTCTATCCCTCCAAAAAAAAGATAAAAGAGAGGAGGACTTAAGCTACCCAGTTTCAAGACTGAGTTATAAGCACTGTAAAGCATGGTAATCAAAACTGTGCTATTAGAAAGATCTGTAGATCAATAGAATAGAGAGTTCAGGAACAGACTCACACATATGTGGTAAGTTGATTTTCAACAAAGATGTTAAGAAAGGGTAGTCTTTTCTAAAAATGGTGCAGAAACAATTAGATATCCATAAGGAAAAACAATTTCAATGCTTATATCATACTCATATAGTATATGATACCATAAAAATTAAATGGAAATGGATCATAGGCCTAATCGTAAAAGCTAAAACTTTTGCAAGAAAACAAGAGAAAAATCTTTGAGAACTTTGGGTAGAAAAAGCTTTCTTAGAAAAAAAAGAAAATTAACCTTAAAACAAAAACTTGAGCTGGGAGCAGTGGCTCACACCTGTAATCCCAGCACTTTGGGAGGCCAAGGCAGGTGGATCACAAGGTCAGGAGTTCGAGACCAGCCTGGCCAAAATGGTGAAACTCCATCTCTACCAAAAATACAAAAATTAGCCAGGCGTGGTGGTGCGCACCTGTAGTCCCAGCTACTGGGGAGGCTGAGGCAGAAAAATCGCTTGAACACAGGAGGTGGAGGTTGCAGTGAGCCAAGATCAAGCCACTGCACTCCAGCCTGGGTGACAGAGCAAGACCCTGTTTCAAAAAAGAAGAAGAAGGAGAAGGAGGAGAATAAGAGGAAGAGGAAGAGAAGAAGAAGAAGAAAGAAAGAAGAATAAGAAGAAAAAGAAGAAAGTTTGGGTAATTTGCTCAAAGTCACACAGCCAGTGGGTGGTGAAGCTAAGGTTTCAAACCTGGATTTGTCTGGATCTGGATCTGTCTGATCTCAGAGCCCAGTTTAGGAGAGCCCAATTTAATTGTGAGAAGGGGATTCCTTTTTTTTTTTTTTTTTGAGACAGTCTTGCTCTGTCGCCTAGGCTGGAGTGCAGTGGTGCAATCTTGGCTCACTGCAACCTCTGCCTCCCGGGTTCAAGCAATTCTCCTGCCTTAGCCTCCTGAGTAGCTGGGATTACAGGTGCCCGCCACCACGCCCAGCTAATTTTTGTGTTTTTAGTAGAGACGGGGTTTCACCATGTTGGTCAGGCTGGTCTCGAACCCCTGACCTTGTGGTCCGCCTGCCTCGGCCTCCCAAAGTGCTAGGATTACAGGCATGAGCCACCGCGCCCGGCGAAGGGGATTCCTTTTTATCTGTAGTCTTTATTTATATCTAATCTCATTTCTATAAACCACATAAGAACAACAAATTGTTATTATTTTTTTTTTTTGAGACAGAGTCTCGCTCTGTCGTCCAGGCTGGAGTGCAGTGGTGCGATCTTGGCTCACCACAAGCTCCACCTCTGGGGTTCACACCATTCTCCTGCCTCAGCCTCCCAAGTAGCTGGGACTACAGGCAACTGCCACCACGCCCGGCTAATTTTTTGTATTTTTAGTAGAGACGGGGTTTCACCGTGTTAGCCAGGATGGTCTCCATCTCCCGACCTCGTGATCCACCCGCCTCGGCCTCCCAAAGTGCTGGGATTACAGGTGTGAGCCACCACGCCCTACAATAAATTATTTTTAATGCATCATCTAATAGTGTATGCTTTTCACATAATTAGTGACAAATGTTTGCTTGAATAATACATGTGCAGTGTTTACAGGTATAGGAATTCCTTTCAGACCTTTAAAACAATCTTTTGAGATGATATAATCATTAAAAAACTTAAAGCTGAAAAACAAATGAAACTAAAGCTCAGAGCTGTTCAGTGGCTGTAAGATCACAAGATCACACTGTAAAAACAAGATGTGAACACAGGTTTTCTAATGTGAAGTACAGTGCTGGTACCAGCTCTACCACTTTCTAAAAGGATGACCTTGGGTATTAGGTAATTTAACCTCATACTCATTAGTAAGATGAGTATAATCAAAGCCTTCACTCCATAAGGAAATAGAGGCAATAATACTTATAAAGCATTTATTACAGTGCTTGGCACCTGATAAGCACTCAATAAATGTAAACTATTGATTAAGGGATTAAAGTTTTTTTATTTAAGTTGATTCCATTTGATTTAAGTTATCTGATATTCCATTTTATTCATGTATAAAAGGAAATAATAATATCCACTTAGCTAGGTTGTTTTGATGATTAAATGAATCAAAGCATTTAAAGCTTCTAGTAAACTGTTTAGCATATGGTAAATGGGAGGAAGGAACAGAGAGTGCCTTTTGACAAATAGCAAACCAAAGTCATAAATTTCCCCCAAAAAAATTACATGCCAGGTGAATGCTCAAGAAACGTTTGTTGAACGACAAATGAGCAGATGCCAGATGCCATCATTGCAATATATGGTGTAATAAATAAACTTATTTTTTTTCTTTTTTTGAGACAGAGTCTCACACTGTAGTCCAAGCTGGAGTGCACTGGCACAATCTCAGCTCACTGCAACCTGCGCCTCCCAGGTTCAAGCAATTCTCCTGCCTCAGCCACTGGAGTAGCTGGGATTACAGGCACACACCACCATGCCCAGCTAATTTTTGTATTTTTAGTAGAGACAGGGTTTCACCATGTTGGCCAGGCTGGTCTTAAGCTCTTGGCCTCGTGTGATCTGGCCGCCTCAGCCTTCCAAAGTATTGGGATTACAGGTGTGAGCCACTGTGTCCGGCCCTACTAAGTAAATTTCATTGTTCTTTCCTTCTTTTTTTTGGAACAGGATCTCTCTCTGCCACCCAGGCTGGAGTGCGGTGGTGGGATCTCGGCTCATTGCAGCCTCAACCTCCTAGGCTCAAGCAATCCTCCCACCTCAGCTTTCCAACTAACTGGGACTACAGGCGGATGCCACCATGCCCAGTTAACTTTTTAAGTATTTATAGAGACGGGGTTTTGTCATGTTGCCCAGGCTGGTCTCAAACTCCTGGGCTAAAGCACTCCACCCGCCTAAGCCTCTCAAAGTGCTGGGATTACAGGTGTGAGCCAGCACACTCAGCTAATTTTAGCTTTCTAAAACACATTGAGGGCTACGCGCGGTGGCTCACACCTGTAAACCCAGCACTTTGGGAGGCCAAGGTGGGTGGATCACCTGAGGTCGGGAGTTTGAGACCAGCCTGACCAACATGGAGAAACCCCGTCTCCACTAAAAATACAAAATTAAGCTGGGCGTGGTGGCGCATGCCTGTAATCCCAGCTACTTGGGAGGCTGAGGCAAGAGAATCACTTGAACCCAGGAGGCGGAGGTTGCAGTGAGCCGAGATCATGCCACTGCACTGCAGCCTAGGGGACAGAGCAAGACTCTGTCTCCAAAAAAATTAAATAAATAAGTAAAACATGTTGCACACCAGGTG
Organism: Homo sapiens; assembly: GCF_000001405.40. Taxonomy (NCBI): domain Eukaryota; kingdom Metazoa; phylum Chordata; class Mammalia; order Primates; family Hominidae; genus Homo; species Homo sapiens. The sequence goes on along the minus strand of NW_009646195.1, from coordinate 77,087 downwards.
TGGTGGCTCATGCCTGTAATCCCAGTGCTTTGTGAGGCTGAGGTAGGAGGACTGGTTAGGCCCAGGAGGTTGAGGCTGCAGTAAACCATTATTGTGCCATTGCACTCCAGCCTTGGTGACAGAGTGAGACCCTGTTTCAAAAAAAAAAAAAGGAAGAAGAGAAGAAATAACCTGAGTAGCCATATATCTCAGGAATGAAACGGTGGTTTAACATTTTAAATCTATCTATGTTATTCACCTCATTAACCAACTAAAAAACAAAGCAAAACTTATGATCATCTCAATAAGTACAGAAAAAAGCATTTGAGAAAATTCAACATTGATTCATGGTAAAAATTCTCAGCAAAGTAGGAAGAGAAGGAAACTTCTTTAGCCTGATAAAGAGTATTTAGAATAATACAGATAACATCATACTTAATGATGAAAGATTGAATGCGTTCCTCCTAATATCAAGAAGGTAAGGATATTTTGTTTAATGTTGTACTAGCAATTCTAGCTAGTGCAATAAGGCAAGAAAAAGAAATAAAAGGCATATAGATTTGAAAGGAATAGGTACAACTATATTTATTTGCAAAGAACAAGATTATCTTGGCCGGGTACAGTGGCTCATGCCTGTAATCCCAGCACTTTGGGAGGCCAAGGCTGGTGGATCACCTGAGGTCAGGAGTTCAAGACCAGCCTGATCAATATAGTGAAACCCCAAACCCCATCTGTACTAAAATTACAAAAATTAGGGGGCATGGTGGCACGTGCCTGTAGTCCCAGCTACTCTAGAGCTGAGGCAGGAGAATCGCTTGAACCCGGGAGGCGGCGGTTGCAGTGAGCCAAGATTGTGTCACTGCACTCCAGCCTGGGCGACAGAGCAAGACTCCATCTCAAAAAAGAAAAAAAAAAAGATTATCTCTGTAGAAAATGCTAAGGAATCTAAAAATAGCTATTAAAACTAAGTAAGTTGGCCAGACATGGTGGCTCATGCCTGTAATCCCAGCACTTTGAGAGGCCAAGGTAGGTGGATCACTGGAGGTCAGGAGTTCAAGACCAGCCTGGCCAACATGGTGAAAATCCTGTCTCTACTAAAAATACAAAAATTAATCAGGTGTGGTGGCACACACCTGTAATCCCAGCTACTCAGGAGGCTGAGGCAGGAGAATCACTTGAACCCAGGAGGCAGAGGTTGTGGTGAGCTGAGATGGTGCCACTGTTCTCCAGACAGGGAGACTCCATCTCAAAAAAACAAAAAAAAAATCAATTATAATCCTATACACTAGCAACACAAAATTGGAAACTAAAATTTTTTAAAAAAATAATGCCATTGACAATATTATATTTAAAATATCAAATACTTCAGGACAAATTTAACAAAAGACATATAAATGCTGTACACTAAAGTCTATAAATTGCTGAGAAAAATTAAATAAAATCTAAATAGATATTTCATGAATTGGAAGATTCAATATTGTTAAGATGTAAATTCTCAAGTTAAGCAATAGATCCTGTGCAATCCTATTAGGAAACTTTGCAGATCTTTAAAATTTCCAGGCTAGGCCGGGCATGGTGGCTCACGCCTGTAATCCCAGCACTTTGGGAGGCCAAGGCGGGTGGATCACAAGGTCAGGAGATCGAGACTGTCTTGGCTAACACAGTGAAACCCCATCTTTACTAAAAATACAAAAAATTAGCCGGGCATGGTGGCAGGTGCCTGTAGTCCCAGCTACTTGGGAGGCTGAGGCAGGAGAATGGCATGAACCCAGGAGGCGGAGCTTGCAGTGAGCCAAGATTGTGCCACTGCACTCCAGCCTGGCCTAAGAGCGAGACTCCCTCTAAAAAAAAAAAAAAAAAAAAAAAAATTCCAGACTAACCATCACCTGGGTCTTAAATTACAGAGATGGTAAAGCAGTAAGGATTAGGAGCAGGAAGTTCCAGGTGAGTCTGACCTGGATTTAATCCCAGCTCTGTCTCTTACTACCTGTGTCCTTGAGTAAGTTATTTAACCTCTCCTCTTGTAGGTTTCTCATCTTTTTTTTTTCTTTTCGAGACTCAGTCGCCCAGGCTGGAGTGCAGTGGCATGATCACAGTTCACTGCGGCCTCTACCTCCCAGGCCTAAGCAATCCTCTCATCTCAGCTTCCCAAGTAACTAGGACCACAGGCATGTGACACCATGCCCAGCTAACTAAAAAAGTTTTTCCTTGTAGCAACAAAGTCTCACTATGTTGCCCAGGCTGGTCTCAAACTCCTGGGCTCGAGTGATCCTCCCATCTTGGCCTCCCAAATTGCTGAGATTGCAGGCATGAACCACCATGTGTGGCCAACAACACAACTTTTTATTTTTATTTATTTATTGTATTATTATTATTATTTGAGACAGAGTCTTGCTCTGTCACCCAGGCTGGGGTGCAGTAGCGTGATCTTGGCTCACTGCAACCTTCACCTCCCAGGTTCAAGCAATTCTTCTGTGTCAGCCTTTCAAGTAACTGGGATTGCAGGCACCTGTCACTACGCCTGGCTAATTTTTGTATTTTTAGTAGAGATGGGGTTTCACCATGTTGGCCAGGCTGGTCTCAAACTCCTGACCACAGGTAGTCCACCCTCCTCGGTCTCCCAAAGTGCTGGAATTACAGGTGTGAGCCACCATGCCCAGCCAACACAATTTTTTTTTTTTGTTTTGTTTTGTTTTTTGAGATGGAGTTTCGCTCTTTTTGCCCGGGCTGGAGTGCAATGGCTCGATCTTGGCTCACTGCAACTGCCACCTCCCAGGTTCAAGTGATTCTCCTGCCTCAGCCTCCCAAATAGCTGGGATTACAGGTGTGTGCCACCACACCTGGCTAATTTTGTATTTTTTTTTTTAGTAGAGACTGGGTTTCACCATGTTGGCCAGGCTGGTCTTGAACTCCTGACTGCAGGTGATCTGTCCGCCTTGGCCTCCCAAAGTGCTGGGATTACAGGCGTGAGCCACTGGGCCCGGCCCCAACACAATTTTTTAAATGGCTCAAAAGTTTTGAATAGATGAAAGAGTATACAGGAATAGTCAACAAGCACATCAAAAGATGCTTGATGTCATAGTCATTAGAGATATGCAAATGAAATCCTCAAAGCTAAATCACTTCATACCCACTTGAATGACTAAAGTTAATATCACAGGGTGTGGCGGGGCGTGGTGGCTCACGCCTGTAATCCCAGCACTTTGGGAGGCCAAGGCGGGCAGATCACAAGGTCAGGAGTTTGAGACCAGCTTGGCTAATATGGTGAAACCCCATCTCTACTCAAAATACAAAAATTAGCTGGGCACGGTGGTGCATGCCTGTAATCCCAGCTGCTTGGGAGGCTGAGGTGGAAGAATCACTTGAACCTGGGAGGTGGAGGTTGCAGTGAGCCAAGATCGTGCCACTGCACTCCAGCCTGGGTGACAGAGCAAGACTCCATCTTAAAAAAAAAAAAATCACTGGCATGGTGGCTCACACCTGTAATCCCAGCACTTTGGGAGGCCGAGGCAGGTGGATCACCTGAGTTCAGGAGTTCAAGACCAGCCTGGCCAACAGGGAGAAACCCTGTCTTTACTGAAAATACAAAACAATTGGCAGGGTATGGTGGTGCACACCTGTAATCCCAGCTACTCAGGAGGCTGGGGCAGGAGATTTGCTTGACCCTGAGAGGCGGAGTTGCAGTGAGCCGAGATCGCGCCACTGCACTGCAGCCTGAGCAACAAGATCAAAAGCTCTGTCTCAAAAAAAAAAAAAAAAAGATTAATAATACCAAAGGCTGGCAAGGGTATGAAGCAACAGGAACTGTAATACATTCCTGGTGGGAGTGTAAAATGGCACAACTGTTTTGGAAAACAATTTAGTAATTTTTTTTTTCTTTTTGAGACGGGTCTCACTCTGTCAGCCAGGCTGGAGTGCAGTGGTGTGATTATGGCTCACTGCAGTCTTGACCTGCTGGGCTCAAGCAATTCTCCCACCTCAGCCCCCTGAGTAGTAGGGACTAGAGGTTCGTCACCATGCCTGGCTAATTTTTTTTTTTGATAGAAATGGGGTTTTACCATGTTGCCAAGGCTTGTCTCAACTCCTGAGCTCAAGCAATCCATCCACCTTGGCCTCCCAAAGTGCTGGATTATAGGGGTGAGCCACCACACCCAGCCTAGTAACTTTTTATATAATTAAACATTCACCTATCCTGTGACACAGCAATACCACTTCTATTTACCCAAGAGAAATATAAACGTGTGTCCACACAAAGATTCGTACATAAATGTTTATATTAGCCAAAAACAAGGGGATAAAAAGAATGTCCATCAACAGATGAATGAATTAAACTATGGCATTTTCATTCAATAGAATACCACTTCAGCAACAACAGAGAATGAGCTACTGACATACAGCAAGATTGGTGAATCTTGACGGATGCTATGTTGAATGGGAAAAGTCAGACACAAAAAGTATACACTGGACGATTCAATTTTTATTGAGTTCTAGAACAGGCAAAACTAACTTATGGTGACAAAAATCAGAACAGTGATTGCCTCTGGCTCTGAAGGAATTGAGAGGGGATGCAGGGAATGCTCTGTGTAATGAAAACGTTCTATACCTTGAGAGTGGTGTGGGTTTCATAGGTGTATCAGTTTGTCCAAACTCATTCAATTGTACATTTAAAATCTATGCATTTTATTATTGTTATTATTTTTTATTTTTTAATTTACTTATTTATTATTATTATTTTTTCAGACAGAGTTTTGCTCTTGTTGCCCAGGCTGGAGTGCAATGGCATAATCTTGGCTCACCACAACATCCACTTCCAGGTTCAAGCGATTCTCCTGCCTCAGCCTCCTAAGTAGCTGGGATTACAGGCATGCGCCACCACGCCTGGCTAATTTTGTATTTTCAGTAGAGATGGGGTTTCTGAGGCTGGTCTCGAACTCCCGACCTCAGGTGATCTGCCCACCTCGGCCTCCCAAAGTGCTGGGATTACAGGCTTAAGCCACCACGCCTGGCCAATCTATGCATTTTGTTGTATGTAAATTAAACCTCAGTATTGTTGATATAAATACACACGTGGAGCTCCCTCATGGTCTGTCAGCCTGCAGTCAGCAAGATAACCCCTTCTCCCTGAATCATGGGTGATTAACAACCCCAGTCAATCTACAGGCAGCTCATCAGCACCCCCAGGAGGTGAGCTGGTAGCTCACACTCATCTCCCTGGCAGAGGCCCTCAATGTGACCTCAACCAATGACCATTCCCAGGCCTTATAGAATGCTGATCTTGTTGGTCTCAGCCAACAGAAGGAACTTGACCCCTGAGAAGGCTCCTTTATCAAGACACAAAGTGGCCAACTTTGCAGTCAGAGACTTGGGGGTCCAATTCCAGCATCAGGCTTCCTTCAGCACTGTGTGACCTTGGCTAAATCGATTAACCTCTCTGAAATTCAATGCTCCAGAAAGTCAAGAAGCCAATTGCTCTCATTTTAGTATCTTCCGTGTCTGGAACATAAGTTTTTAATTTTTGTGTTTTTTAAATTTAATTTAATTTTTTTTTTTAATGCCTAGTCTCTCTCTGTCACCCAGGCTGAAGTGCAGTGGCACAATCACAGCTCACTGCAGCGTCAACTTCCCTGGCTCCAGGGATCCTCCCACCTCAGCTTTTCTCAGCTTTCCAAATAGCTAGGACCACAGTCACACCCCACCATGCCTGACTAATATTTTTGTATTTTTGGTATAGAGGGGGTTTCACCATGTTGCCCAGGCTGGTCTCAAACTCCTGGGCTCAAGCAATCCACCCACCTTGGCCTTCCAAAGTGTTGGGGTTACAGGTGTGAGCCACCGTGCCCAGCCTGGAACGTTAAGTCTACTGAAAGAACTATCGCACAGTGCTGTGGCAGGACTGCTGTTCTACATGCTTGAAAAGTAAAAGTGTTATCTGCTCCCCTGGATAAAATGTTTCTTAACATCTAGGAGATCTTGAATTCCTTTGAGAATCTGATGACAAACCCTGTACCCTCTCCTCCCAGGAAGATATACAGGTCATTTTACATATATCCCCATGCCTGGGATGCCATGGGCCCTGAATTAAGATCCCTTGGTTCTGGAGCATCTCACTTAGGCCTGAAGGTTCTATCAAGCATTCTTGCAATTCAGCCATCATTTGTTCTGGATCGGATTCCTGCCAGAGCCTTTATCCTCATTGTTTCTTTTTATCTCCTCCATGACTCTCTGATGATGGTCTGCAGATGAGGGAAATAAGACTTAGGCCAAGTGACTTGCCCAAGATCATATAGTTAGTGATGGCTGCTGTTGAGATTTGACCTCATTTGTGTCTTCTGATTCCAACCCCCACTCACAGAAGCCCACAAAGGACCCAGTAGCTGAAAAGCTTCCTAACGACTGCAGGAATGACTTTGCCCAAGTCCAGGTCTGGAAAGAAGATTCTGCAACGGATGAGTGACCCCAGGCCCATCCTAAGTGCAGGCCTCATGCCCAGCTCCAACATGTGTCATCACCCCTCGGTTTCTCAACTCAGCCCACAGCGGGCGGGGGTGGTGGGGAGCAGAAGAAGGGAAGAGAAACAGAGGAAATTATAAAAAGAAGTCTCAGACTGAGTCATAAACATGAGTTATAACTCAGAGAGAGGTTCTGGAAAGAGAGTAAAGGTCATAATGAAAGGGCTCCCTCTTTTCATGGGGCAAGGATGCTTAAATGAGCTGACCTGTCCAGGTTCTGGATATGATTCCTTCTACTTAAACCGGTGAGAAGGCCAGGCGTATTGGCTCAGACCTGTAATCGCAAGGTTTTGGGAGGCTGAGGCAGGAGGATCAGTTGAACCCAGGAGTTCAAGACCAGTCCAGGCAACATGGTGAGAACCCAGCTCTACAAAAAAATAAAATAATAAAATATAAAATAAAAATTAGCCAGGCATGTTAGTCCGTGCCTGTGGTCTAAGCTACTGAGGAGGCTGAAGTGGGAGGATTGCTTGAACCTGGGAGGTCGAGGTTACAGTGAGCCATGATCATACCACTGCACTCCAGCCTGGGTGACAAGGCAGAGTAAGACTCTGTCTCTAAAAAATAAATAAATGAATCATATGAGTAAATCAAGGTAGAGAGATTAAATGGCTTGCCCAAGATCCACAAGCAAGTGGTCAAAGTTGGATTGTAAGCCAGGGTTGTTTGTCCCTCAAGAAAAAAAGTTTAACAAAACCAGGACAGCTTAATCCCAGGTCTGCACTTAACCACACTACTCTAGCCTGCTTCCCACGTCCTCATGTTGTTTGCTTATAACTGAGCAGCTCCGTACACACTTCACACGCTCTCTCCTCTTTATTATTTATTTATTTATTTATTTTTTCTGAGACAGTTTCACTCTTGTTGCCCAGACTGGAGTGCAGTGGTGCAATCTTGGCTCACTGCAACCTCTGCTTCCCAGGTTCAAGCGATTCTCCCGCCTCAGCCTCCCAAGAAACTGGGATTACAGGCATGCGCCACCATGCCCAGCTAACTTTGTATTTTTAGTAGAGATGGGGTTTCGCCATGTTGGCCAGGCTGGTTTCGAACCCCTGACCACAGGTGATCCACCCGCCTCAGCCTCCCAAAGTGCTGGGATTACAGGCGCGAGCCACTGTGCCCGGCTATTATTTTATTATTTTATTTTGAGACAGAGTCTCACTCTGTCACCCAGGCTAGAGTGCAGTGGCACGATCTCGGCTCACTGCCGTCTCTGCATCTCAGGTTCAAGTGATTCTCGTGTCTCAGCCTCCCAAGTAGCTGGAATACAGGCACTTGCCACCACGCCTGGCTAATTATTTATTCATTTTTTGTATTTTTAGAATAGATGGGGTTTCGCCATGTTGGCCAGGCTGGTCTCAAACTCCTGGCCTCAAATGATCCGCCAGTCTCAGCCTCCCAAAGTACTGGGAATACAGGTATGAGCCACCATGCCCGGCCAACACTCTCTCCTTTAATGCTCACTATCGCTCTGTTTGACAGTTGAAATGTCAGAATAGTGAAGCAACTTGCCCAAGGTCACATGGCAGGTCAGCATTAGGGCTGGGATATGATCTCGGGTCTGTCTAGCTCTGCCTGTTCCCATTACCCACTGCTGCCTTCACAGATGAGTGGGGCAGGAGCTGAGGCGGGAGGGAAAAGGTGGGGACCACTGCAAAGGCCCTGGGAAATGATGGCCCACGAGGGCCTCCTGCTCACTTCTCTGGGTCTTTCCCTCTCCTTGGAGTAGCCTTAGTACCACTCCTTTGCCTGCCACCTGCAACTACCTCCACTGGGGGTGGGGTGCTCATGTAGATCTCTCTCCTGCTTCTGTTGAATCATTTCTCCCTTGGGTCCCCAGGAGTTAGTGGGAACCCCCCACAAGAAGTGGAAGCTACTCAGAAGCCCTCAGTTCAAAGTGGAGGAACTTTCCAACTGTGTGGGGGATTGCCTTGTGATGTGGTGGATTCTCCATCACTGGTGGTATTCGAACAGAAATTGGAAACCATCTGTGGGAGATTCCTATAGTGGGTGGAGGTTGAGTCAAGGCCTTTAGAGCCCTTCTGACTGTGAGATTTTTTGAGTCACTGTGGGAAGATATTTAGCCTGTGCACCAGGGTTGGTTGAATAGTAGGACACACATGAGCTTGGAGCCAGATAGGCCTGGGTTCAAAACCTGGCTGAACCACTTCCTTGCTTGGAGATTGTGGGCAAGTGTCCTCCCTTAGCCTCAGTTTCCTTGTTATAAAATGGAAATTGTAGGCCAAGTGCAGTGGCTCACGCCTGTAATCCCAGCACTTTGGGAGGCTGAGGCGGGTGGATCACGAGGTCAGGAGTTCAAGACCAGCCTGGCCAACATAGTGAAACCCCATCTCTACTAAAAATACAAAAATTAGCCGGGCGTGGTGGCGTGCACCTGTAGTCCCAGCTACTCGGGAGGCTGAGGCAGGAGAATCATTTGAACCTGGGAGGTGGAGGTTGCAGTGACCCGAGACTGTCCCATTGCACTCCAGCCTGAGTGACCAAGCGAGACTCCATCTCAAAAAAAAAAAAAAAATAAATAATGGAAATTGTAATACCTCCCTCATTAGATTGCTTTTCATATTAGGGATGATGTGTATACTCTGCCTGGTTAAAGAAGGAACTCAAGACCTTGTGCCTACCACGGCCAATGAACAAATGACCAATCATGGGTCGGCGTGTTCTTTGTGGCCTTTCATTACGGGGTGAGTGAGTGAATTAAATCCATGTGTTAACCAAGGTGCTAACTGGTTGAATTATTTAACATATGTAGGAAACCAGTCTTTTCTCTGTGGGGGCCTGTCTCTGAAATAATCATGGAAAACATGATACATAAGTGGGTAAAATGCAAAAAATGCTCAGGGATTTTGATGTCTGCATCAACAATTGAGAATCTGAGTCTCTGACCCAAAGGGGACATGTGAGATCATCTAAACTGTCCCCTATGGGAAGAGGAATCTCCTCTAAGACCTCAACACGTCATTAGTGCGCTGTGTATGCAGCACAGGGGATGGGAATGCTCTACCTTCTGAGAATGTCTGCAGGAAACTCCCCAAATTCCCCATCTTGTTTTTTACAGCTTGCCAGCTGGGAAATAGAACTTTCCTACTGTGTCCTCCAATTGACACCAGACCCCAATGTTATGGGACCTTTATGATCACCTGGCTGGCTGAGGGGAAGGGTGGTCACCAGACAGATCTGTGGCACGTGTGACTAGGTCTTGGGCATTTTCAGAAGCAGAGAGGCTGGACAGCACACTGGTGAAGTGTGAGTTTCAGAAACATAGAGATCTCAATTTGAGTCCTGCTCTGCCTCTTAGCTGGGTCCTCGGGCAAGTCATTTAATTTCCAATCCTCAATTTTCTTGTGTGTGAAATTATCACATCTCCCTCATAATGAGGATCAAATGAAATAAAGTAAGGGAAGCACTTGGTGCCCAGCACTCCCATCACGAGCATTTGATTGATAGATGGGAGCCACTATTTTATGGGAGGGGACATTCTGCAGGGTGAGTGCTCAGGGGTTGTTATTTGGGCATTAAAGGGAAGAGTGGCCAGCCTGGGCAACATAGCGAGAACCCGTTTCTACAAAATAAAATAAAATAAATTAGCCAGCTATGGTGGTGCACACCTGTAGTCCCAGCTTGTTAGGCTGAGGTGGGAGGATCACTTGAGCCTTGTAAAGCAGAGGTTGCAGCAAGCTTGGGTGACAGAACAAGACTCTCAGAAAAAAGGAAGAGTGACTGTGGAACTTGGGGACATGAGGATTGATCATTTGTTGTCCCAAGCTGGGTTATTGCTATTCGTGTTTTTTTTTTTTCACTTATTTAAAATATTTCCTGGGAGCATAGATTCAAGTTGCCTTGAATATACACTCTCATTAGTGGGTTTAAAAACATTTTTACTTTTTTTTTCTTTAAATAGAAACGGGTCTTGGGTCTCACTACATTGCCCAGGATGGTCACAAACTCCTGGCCTCAAACGACCCTCCTGCTTTGGCCTCCCAAAGTGCTGGGACTATAAGCGTGATCCACCATGCCCAGCCTATTAATGGGTTTTGTCCAGGCAGTCAGCACTCAGAGAGGAAAGTTCCTACTGGAGGTGCTGGTGGCTGGGAACTGCGTTTCTGGAGTCCAGTGAGTCCCTGGGGGGCTGTCCCGACCTGTGAAAACTATAATGAGCCTAATTGCAAAGCTTTTTACCTTCCTAAACACATTCATATTCACACACTCATTTGATCTTCAGGTGATGCTGTGAGGTGGGCAAGAATTATCCCCATTTAGCAAGTGCGGAAACTGAAGCCCACAGAGGTGAAGTATTAGGGTTTTGGGGTTTGGCTGCTGAGAAACCTATGGACTCCCACCCCACCCACCCATCCACCATTTCCTGGTTCTTGGATCTTCCTTCTGGTGCCTGGGGCAAGACACTAACAGCTCAATGCCTCAGAGCACCAGCTTCCCTTCCACCCCAGATGCCTTTCCAGGCTCCAGCTCTATGCTTCCCCCAGCACCATCAAGTCTGCTCTCTCGTTCACTCACCCATTCAACAAACACTAGCTGAGGACCAAAAAACTGTGTGCCAGGTGCACAGGATATGGAATGAACAAAGCACAGCCCACACCCTCAGGTTCACAGACTAGTGGGGAGAAAACACATCATCAGCTGTTTCCAAAAGTGTGGTATACGCAGAAATGGGGCACAGAGCGGGGTCTGAGGACCCCAAAGGAAGGTCACCAAACAGTTTGTGGTGTCCTAGTTGGCTTCCTGGAGGTGTCATTTGAATTTTCCTAAAGGATGGGAAATTAGCAGGGCACACGTGGCAGCAGAATCCAGTGGAGGCAGAAGCACGGCAGGTTTGGGTCTTGTGAGCAGTTTGGGGACAAGTTACAGAGTTGACACTGGGATCTTGGTGGGGGCCAGATCACACAGGACACTGAATTCAAGCGAGGATGCCTCAGCAATATCTTGTAGACAGTGACGAGTCACTTCAGGGCAGATGCTGGGTCAGATTTGTGATTGTAAATGGAGGATGTTGGGGACACAAAAGTCTGGAGAGATTTAGTAGGCTACTGGAAGAACAAAAATATGAGAAGGGCAGGGAGGATGGAGAGGAGGGGATGGATCCTCCAAATATTTAGGAAACAGAATTGATGGTGGCAGGATGCAGAAGTGGGGGGAAGGAGGCAGGGTGATGCTCAGGATTCCAGCTGGGTGATGGGGTCCAGGGGAGACAACCCTGGATGATGGGTGGGACAGGAAATGTTGGTTCCAAGATGGGGAAACCAAGTCTCCAAGAAGTGAAACACACAGGACATGGGTTGGGGCTAAGTACCACATAAGTGTCACTGGTTGCAAAGGAGGGCTTCCTAGCCCATGGGGCCCCAACAGCACCCTCCTTGCTCCTGTGGGGAGGCTGCCGGGCTTAGAATCCGTACACTTAGGCCAGCCCCAAAACTTAGCTGCTGTTATCAGAATCTCCTTCCATCATAACAGGACTTATTCACTTCTAAGGCCCTAGCTTTCTAAAATCTGTAAAGTGGGGCGGCCGAGACATAATGGAAACCAAGGCCTGGTTCATAAGGCTTGGAATCTTGCCAGACTGGGGGTGGGGGGGTCCTCTGGCTGTCATCCCTGAGTGTCCCTTGCTGGTGCTCCAGGGCTCAGCACAGGCATCCCCCCACCCCCTCATCTTTGCTCAGGCCCTAGAACAGCACTTCTCAAACTTTAATATGCACAGAAATCACATGTAGACCTTGTTATAAGATAGATTCCTATTAACCAGGTCTGGGGACAGGCCTGAGATTCAGCACTTCTACCCAGCTCCCAGATGATGCTGATGCTACTGGTATGTGGACCACACTCTCAGAAGCCCCGTCTCTTGGCTTTGCAAACTTTCTCCAAGCTAATGACTTCCAAATTTATCTTTCCAGTTCAGATCTCTCCCTAGAACTTCAACTTCTAATTACAACTCTTATTTGACATCTCCATTTGGATATTTTTATTTATATTTATTTATTTATTTTTTGAGATGGAGTCTCGCTCTCTCACCCAGGCTGGAGTGCAGTGGCACGATCTCGGCTCACTGTGAGCTCCATTTTCTGGGTTCATGCCATTCTCCTGCCTCAGCCTCCTGAGTAGCTGGGACTACAGGTGCCCGCCACTAGGCCCGGCTAATTTTTTGTATTTTTAGTAGAGACAGGGTTTCACCATGTTAGCCAGGATTGTCTCGATCTCCTGACCTCCTGATCCGCCCGCCTCGGCCTCCCAAAGTGCTGGGATTACAGGCATGAGCCACTGCGCCCGGCATAATTTTCTATTATTTTTAGTAGAGACGGGGTTTCTCCATGTTGGTCAGGCTGGTTTCGAACTCTCAACCTCAGGTGATCCACCTGCCTCGGCCTCCCAAAGTGCTGGGATTACAGGCGTGAGCCACCATGCCCAGCCATTTGGATACTTAAAAGTTACCTCCCACAGAGCTCTAAAAATTTTCCTCAAACCTATTTCTCTCCAATGCTTCCCCCAAAACTCTTTCCCCAAAAATCTAGAAGATATCCTTGAATCTTCTGTTTCCCTTATCCTCTGCATGCAAACTGCCAGCAAGTGCTGTCTACTTTACCTCCAAAGCATATCCTGACCCCATCTACTCCATCCCAATCTCCATCCCACCACCCTAGTCCAAGCCACCTCATCTCTTGCCTGGGCTACTGCAGTAGCCACCAACCTGGTCACCTTGCTTCCCTCCTGCCTCCCCACCTCACTGTCCAAATTCTCTACAGAGCAATCGGAGTGATCTTTTATTTTTTTGAGACAGTCTCGCTCTGTCGCCTGGGCTGGAGTGCAGTGGTGCGATCGCGGCTCACTGCAACCTCTGTCTCCCAGATTCAAGCAATTCTCATGCCTCAGCCTTGCGAGCTGATGGGTGGGAGCATGCGCCACCACACCCAGCTAATTTTTGTATTTCTAGTAGAGAGAGTTTCGCCATGTTGGCCAGGCTGGTCTTGAACTCCTGACCTCAAGTGATCTGCCTGCCTCGGCCTCCCAAAGTGGTGGGATAACAGGCGTGAACCACTGCACCTGGCCCAGAGTGATCTCTTAAAAATGTGAATCAAATCATGATCAAATCATGTCACTTTCCTGCTCAAATTATTTTAGGAGCTTGCGCCTCACTCAGAATTAAATGCACGCCTAATCCTGGCTTACAGTGCCTAGCATAACTGGCCTCTGCCTCCTTTCCAGCCTCATCTTGGGCAAACGCCTGGCTCTGGGGTCACAGCTACATCAGCCTCCTCTCATCCCTGAGCACACCGAGCCTGTTTCCCCCTCATGGCCTTTGTCCTGACTGCCCTCTGCCTACCAGTCTTGGCTGACCCCTTCTCACCATTCAGATCTCAGCTCCTGGGTTACCTCCCCAGAATGGCCTTCCCTGATTACCCAATATCTCACCCCAGTTTAATTCTGTATGTGTCTTATCAGTAGCTGACCATGGCTTGTTAAGTGTCCGTTTCCCCTACTGGGAAGTAAGACCCCTGGACACAATGACCTTGTTCTTTACCTGGTTCACCAGCATCCAGAACAGGGCCAGAATGAGTGCTCAGAAAATACTGCATGAGAAAATGTCATTCCCCAACTTGAGCCTGTTTCCCCATCTATAAAACAGGGATAATACAGAGCATCTACCTCACAGGGTTAAGATTAAATGAGATATTCATGTGAGGCCCAGGCATAGTGCCTGGCACTTGGTCACCATTGGCTAATAATACTGTTATCAATACCATAATGGAATCCCCTGGCAGGAACACGTGGGCCAGGCCAGCGGGATTCCCACACACTCCCCAGATGACCTGGTTCCAAGCAGCTGGGCTAACTGGCCCTGGCCCATTTTCTGTCACTGCCAATGTCTTCAACATCCGATAGCAGAGAGAGGGTAAATTCAGGGATGAAGAGTGCAGGAGAGCGTGCTTCAACTCAACAGTTTATTAGAAAGGCCATGGACAGATGAACCCTGAGTAACCAGCTGAGGAAGAAATGAAAAAAGACCCTGTCCCTCATGGCCCGCCCACTGGCCTCCTGTGAACTCTGTCCTGTTGCCAACCCCAGATGAAGTCAGCCAAAAAGTGCTTTCCACATCCTCTCTCTGGGGCTGCCCAGCCTGACCGCAGGGGATCCACTGGCAGAGCCAAGGTGGATGCTGGTGCCTGAAGCTGGAAGCCAGCAGGACATGAGACCCCTCCTGTAGCAGGAAGTGGTTCTAGAACTCCCAGCAGAACAGAACGGAAAAGGAGCTGATTGGGGATAGAATGAGTTCTGCTAAACAGCCAGATGCTCTGAGAGAGGTGACACTGGACTGTCTCGGAGGTGTGTGCAGATGGCTACAGGTGGCCAATCGTGGGGGTCCCCAGGGTGGGATCCCAAAGCTGCTCTAAAGAGTCTCAGAGAGCCCCAGCGTGACTCAGTTCCCCTCCTGGGGCCGCAATGGCTGTTTCTGCTCCCAGAAAGGCAAATGGATCTTGTAAAAATCCATGGTGGTTGATGCCATTTTTTTCATAAAAAAAAGTTTATACAGTGAATCGCTTTCCACCAGCAGAGCCTGAGCCGAGAAGAGTCCATCCTGGGGAAGGAGAAGGCACTTCTCACACCCTCATTAGGGGTGTTCTGGGCTGGCAGCTTCCCCGGCCCCTCGGGTTCCAGCTCCCTCTGGCCCTGTGGTTCCGGCCTGCTCCCTCTGGGAAGCATGCTGACTGTGTCAAGCTAGCACCGCCCTGTGGCCCGAATGCCCTGGTGCCTCACAGGGTGGTGGATGGCAACTTCCTCACTCGCCGCTGGGCCAGGATGGATGACTCGATGGGCTTCAGCTGGGGGGTGGGCTTGGAGCTGTTGAGTGCGGAGTACGTGGCAGCCATGGCTCCCTGAAAGAGAAGTGGGGAGGTCAGGTCACAATGGTGGGAGATGTAGCGGGGAGGGGATCCATGCCCCAAGGGTAGGCCAGCCCCTCTCAGTGTTCCACAGCCCACTTTTTTTGGTTTTGTTTTTGTTGTTTTTTTTTTTTTGAGATACAGTCTCACTCTGTCACCCAGGCTGGAACGCAATGGCACAATCTTGGCTCACTGCAACCTCTGCCCCCAGGGTTCAAGCGATTCTCCTGTCTCAGCCTCCCAAATGGCTGGGATTACAGGCGCTTGCCACCACACCTGGCTAATTTTTGTATTTTTAGTAGAGATGGGGTTTCACCATCTTGGTCAGGCTGGTCTTGAACTCCTGACCTCGTGATCCACCCACCTCAGCCTCCCAAAGTGCTGGGATTACAGGTGTGAGCCACCGCGCCCAGCCTAGCCCACTGTTAATCCAGCCTCAGTGGTCCTTTATGGTCATGGGTCCTGCCTCCCCCATCAGACTGGAGGGTTCAGAGGTCAGCAGCTGTGCCTTCCAGAGGATTGGGGGCTGTGAGTGCACCGTGACACTGTAGCATGTTAGGCTCCCTGACGGCAGGGCTGTGTCTTCTTCTCCTATGTTCCACCTCATGGTGCTTGGTACAGACATGGCATTGCCTGGCTCTTCCACAAGTCCCTGACCATGCCACCTTGGGCTGACCCCCCAGATGCCCAGCAGCCCAAGGGTGGCCATACCTTCACAAGCTGTAGGTCCTGGTGGGACAGCTGGCTTTGGGGAAGCTTGTCTTTCTGGGTGACCCATGGATGCTGCAGAACCTGCTTAGCTGTGAGGCGCTGGTGGGGATCCACGTGTAGCATCTTGGACACCAGGTCCTGGGGACACAGTGGGCAAGGGGGTTGGGGGAGGGCTGCAGGGGAGCAGGCCCCTGATGGGGCACAGGAGGGCAACCATCTCCTGCTAGCTCCCGCCTGAACCCTTGCGGCAGCCCCTGGGATCCATTCTCCACTCTGCTCCAGGGCTCCCCGCACACAGCCAAGGTTCCTGTCGCTGGGCCTTTGCTGCTCTAGGCCCTTCGTCCTGGAACACCCTTCCATTTCTCCTTTGCCTTCAAAAAGCCATGTGGGAAGGTGGGAAAAGCCTCAGGTTTGGGCTCAGACAGATTCAGGTTCAAAACTTGCCTTCTGCACTCATCAAATGAGTGCCCTGGGCAAGTTCCTTCAACTCTCTGAGCCTCAGTTTCCCTGCTGAGAAATAGGAATAACCACTCCCTGCCTCACAGGTTGATGTGAGGTGGCCGGCCGTACATAGAGGGTTCAACTCTGTCTGGCATACAGGTTCCCAATGACCAAAAACTGTTGCTAATACTGAAAGCTCACATGCTACTTCCTCCGAGGAGGCTCTGCTTGGCATGGCCAGTTGCTCTGCTCTGTGTCTCCACGGTCCACACCCCTGGCCAAGAGCGTCCGCCTATCTGTGCCTCCAGGCATCTCTGCCCCTTGTGTGCAAACCTGTATCCCTCACTACACTACGTTTCCACAAAGCCGGGACTGTGATGATGCAGCCCTCAGTGCCCCACAGGGTCCAGAATGAGAAGGGCCAATGAATGATCACCAGGTTACCCCAACAAGGTACGGAGGTGGTGGTGGTCTGCCTGGGAATCTTCCGCTTGGAGAAATACAGCAACAGGGATTTGTGGAACATCCGCTTGGAGAAATGAGGCTGTTCATGAACTGCTGAAAAGCCCTAGGATGGGACCCTGCCTCCCTCCTCCAAATAAGCCCACGCAGGCCGTACAGACTCACCTTGGCTGTCTCTGAAACTGTGTTCCAATTTCCCCCACTGAGGGTAAACTTCCCACTGCCGATCCGGGTTAGGATTTCCTCTGGTGTGTCACTGGGACCGTTGGCAAATGGAGTATATCTGCAGAAAAGCCCGCACGGTCTGGGTACAGACTCTGGCCTCCATACTGGGGCTGGGGCTGCGGTGGGAGACTGTGTCTCCCCCTCAGATGGGGTACTCCCAAGGTAGAGCTCCTGGAGGCAGGAGCATGTCCCTATTTCCAGACCATCCTGGGGCGGGGCTGGCTGAGCCATTCCTATCAGACAAGCACCACTCAGCCCAAGTGCTAGGGCTGCAGGAGTGGGGAAGGGTCCAGGCCAGGGGCACTCACCCTGCCAGCATGGTGTACAGCAGAATGCCCAGGCTCCAGATGTCGCAGCCTTCATCGTAGCCCTGGCGCTTCAGCACCTGGCAACAGGGCAGGGGAGGTGGTCAGTCTGGGGGGGCAGTAGAAAGTCGCCACAGATGTTTCCTGCTACTCCCCTCAAGGGCAGGACAAGGGTCCCAGGCACAGGCTAGATCTTCCCTTGCCAGCTGGGCCAAGGTCACAGAGACTGGAGTCCCGGCTAATGTGGGGCCTCTGGGAGGGGGCACAAGGCCTCCAATTCCCCCTCACTCTTACAGCTGAGGAGGCTGGGCCACTCACCTCAGGCGCCACAAAGTTGGCTGTGTAGCAAGGTGTCATGAGGAGCCCATTCTCAGCCCGCAGCTGTTTGGCAAAACCAAAGTCACAGATGCGCAGGCACTCGGGATTCCCGGACTCGTCCACATACAGGATGTTGCTGGGCTTCAGGTCCCTGTGCACAACCTAGGGGCAGGGGGCTGGGGTCAGTTCTCAGTGTGGGGAGGTGGCTAGTGGCCCAGGTCAGCGGCCAGAGATTAGAAAGCTACACAGACAGGGTGCAGAGGGACGGGTGCATGGACTTGGCATCCGAGAGAAGGGGAAGGGGCTGAAATGATGGTCTTATTGCTGCTGCTACTGACTCTGTGTAGGTGTCTACAGGTAGCTCTAAGTTAACCTGTCAAAACTGAACTCTCAATTCTCCCCTAAAACCTACTCATCACATAATCTTACCTTGTGGCAACTCCATCCTTCCTGTTACTTAGGTCAAAATCTTAAAAGTCTTTTTTTTTTGAGATGGAGTCTTCCTCTGTCACCCAGGCTGGAGTGCAGTGGCACGACCTCAGATCACTGCAGCCTCCGCCTCCCGGGTTCAAGCAATTCTCCTGCCTCAGCTCCCAAGTAGCTGGGATTACAGGCACCCGCCGCCATGGCTGGCTGATTTTTGTATTTTTAGTAGAGATGGGGTTTCACCATGTTGGTCAGGCTGGTCTCAAACTCCTGACCTCAAGTGATCTGCCTGCCTCGGCCTCCCAAAGTGCTGGGATTACAGGCGTGAGCCACCACGCCTGGCCCTATTTTCCTTATCTTTAAAATCAAAGAATACACTGCTTTACTTTTATCTGTAGCACTTCCCACTACTTAACATAATATTTAATTTGTTTTCTGAGTCTGCCCACCGGCATGTAAGCTCCCTGAGTGTTTTGCTCACTGCTGTATCCCAGCACTTAAACTAGCTCCTAGTACATGGCAGGTATTCAATAAATATCTGTTGAATGAATGGATGAATGACACTTACTGCTGAGGCCATAAGCAAACGGCTTTCCTCTGGGCCCTGTTTGCTCATCTGTAACTTGAGGGGGCTGAACCACCCCACATTTCATTCTTCTCCTCCCCACACTCTGTAAGGCTTTTTTGTTTTGTTTTGTTTTGAGACAGGGTCTGTGTTGCCCAGGCTGGAGTACAGCAGCATGATTCATGGCTCACTGCAGCCTCAATCTCTGAGCTCAAGTGATCCTCCCACCTCGACCTCGCAAGCAGCTGGGACTAGAGGCATGTGCCACCATACCCAGCTAATTTTTAAAACATTTTTTGCAGAGACAGGGTCTCGCTATGTTGCCCAGGCTGCTCTTGAACCCCTGGGCTCAAGTGATCCTCCTGCCTGGGCCTCTCAAAGTGCTGGGATTAAAGGTGTGAGTAACTGTGCCTGGCCTGTACAGTTCCATTCATAGTCAATCCTCTAACTATCAACTACCAATACCTCTCAGATCTCTAACCCTAGTCCAGAACTTTTCCTGAGTCTTGGCTCATAAATCCAACTGCCTACCACAAGGCAACCACTGGATGTTCCACAGAGCCTCAAACTCAACACATCCCACACTAAACTCCTCATGTTCTCATCTTCCTGCTCCTCCTCCCCTAAGCTAATGGAACCTCCCTGGGCATTGTCAAAAAACCTTCAAAGGCTCCCTACCTGCAAGATAAAGCCCAAAGTCCCTACCCTAACATGGGAGGCACAGCCATCATCTGTTCCAGCCTCACTGTCCATTGCATCCCTCAGGTGCCCTGAGCTCAGGCCACCAGGGGCTCCTTCGGTAACGATCATAACCCTATGTCTGTGGAATGCCCGTTCACCTTCAGCACCCAGTGCAGGGCCTAGCACAGAGCAAATGCTAAGTGAACTTTGTGCAATGAATGAACAAATCACACCTCTGAAACACAGAGACAGATACCTTGCAGGTTAGATTAGTAGAGTTTTGCAGGTTAGTTGGTTTTATTCAGATAGTCTTTTCATAGTCTCAGTTGATCTCCAAGCCCTCCAGCAATGCCCGTGGAGCCCGTGGAGTAGGTAGACATGGCCCAGCACAGTCCACCTCCATAGGGAGAAGAGTGCCAGGTAGATGAGGGGGAAAGGGCCACACTGTTAGGGTAGCCCCAGCAACACACTGTATCCAAGCCTTGGAGAAAGTCCCGTGGGCTCCCTCCTTCAAACACAATCGTATGCCCACAGCACAAGGCCAGGCCCCCAGGAATGTGGACTCTACCTAGAGGTCAGGGATGCTCAGCTTGGCTGAGGACACCAACTACCCTGCACAAGTGAACTTCCAGTTTACAAAGAATGTTACCAGTCGTGATCTCACTGGAGCCATCCACTGCACCTCGGCGGGTGGACAGGAATTATTAGCTCCATTTTACAGAGGAGAAAACCAAAGCTCTGAGAGGACAATTTTCTTTTTTTTTTTTTTGAGATGGAGTCTCGCCAGCAGCACAATCTTGGATCACTGCAACCTCCGTCTCCCAGGTTCAAGCAATTCTCATATCTCAGCTTCCCAGTTAGCTGGAATTACAGGTGTGCACCACCATGCCTGGCTAATTTTTGTATTATAGAAACAGGGTTTCACCCTGTTGGCTAGGCTGGTTTTAAACTCTGGCCTCAAGTGATCTTCCCACCTTGGCCTCCCAAAGTGCTGGGATTACAGGTGTGAGCCACTACGCCCAGCCTGAGAGGACAACTCACTTGCATGTAGGTTAGAGGCAGAGGCAAGACCAGAACCCAGTTCTGACCTGAATTCCATAGTCTTTCCAGTTTAGTGTGGCACACATGACACTACTGGGACACAGGGATATGGAAGTTGACCTTTTTTTTAAATTAATTTATTTTTCTGAGATGGAGTTTTGCTTTTGTTGCCCAGGCTGGAGTGCAATGGCGTGATCTCGGCTCAGTGCAACCTCTGCCTCCCAGGCTCAAGCAATTCTCCTGCCTCAGCCTCCCAAGGAGCTGGTATTACAGGCATCTGCTACCATGCCCAGCTAATTCTTTGTATTTTTAATAGAGATGGGGTTTCATCATGTTGGCCAGGCTGGTCTCGAACTGCTGACCTCAGGCAATCCACCTGCCTCAGCCTCCCAAAGTGCTGGGATTACAGGCGTGAGCCACCACGCCCGGCTCAAGTTGTTGATCTTTTTTCCTACCCTAATACAACATAGAGAAACTACAAATTCCTATAGGAAACTGTCTCACCACTGCCAGTGGCAGAATAGTAGGGATGGTGAGTGGGGGAGGGGAAGTACAGCTTTAAAAAGCCCCACAGGTGATTCTGATACCTGACCCTCAGGAGTGTATGTTGGGGGAGGAAAAGTATAGTCTCACATCTCACCGCATGGAAAATCACAACAGGCTGGGCAAGTAATGAGTGAAGCCAGGCAGAGTGGGAACCTCCAAGCAGTCCACAGAGGACAGCAGCTACCTGGCTCCAGCTGACAGTCACTACATAGCAACTCGGACCCAGTGTTTTTAAAAGCAGCCAAATTACCAAACCTTACTAAACCATACCTCAAATCAAAAAACACCCCTTATCTTGCAGGCCAAACAAAATATATGTGTAGGCCAAATGCAGGCACTGGAGCAATAGGCCGTGACCTCCAGGAGAGTTGGGATTCCAGTCACAGGAAGGAGTCGGGCAGGCCAGGGTGTGAATCCTGGCTTTACTATCCACTCACAGCTGTGTGGTTTTGGGCACGACATTTAACATCTGTAGCCCTCAGTTTCCTCACTTGTAAAATGGGGCTGATAATAGTATTCAACCCCAGGCTTATAGAGAAGGACAGGAATATTTAGCAAAGGGCTTGGGAAATGATGGACATCACAGTAACCCCAGAACTGCCTTGGACTGAACCCCTCTATCATGCTGGATGTTAAGACACAGTGACTGCTTGGGAAGAAGCACTAGAGACCAGGCCAGGCATGGTGGCTCATGCCTGTAATCCCAGCACTTTGGAAGGCCAAGGCGGGCAGATCACAAGGTTGGGAGTTCAAGACCAGCCTTACCAACATGGAGAAACCCCGTCTCTACTAAAAATACAAAAGTTAGCCGGGCGTGGTGGCATGCATCTGTAGTCCCAGCTACTCGGGAGGCTGAGGCAGGAGAATCTCCTAAACCTGGGAGGCGGAGGTTGCAGTGAGCCGAGACTGCGCCATTGTACTCCAGCCTGGGTGACAGAGCTAGACTCCGTCTCAAAACAAACAAACAAACAACAACAACAAAAAACCCTAGAGACCAGATGCTGTCCAAAGCAGCACAGGCTCTGGGCTGGGTGCAGTGGCTCACACCTGTAAATCTCAGCAGTTTGGGAGGCTGAGGTGGGAGAATCGCTTGAGCCCAGGAGTTTGAGGCCAGCCTGGGCAACATGGTAAGACCCTGTCTCTACAAAAAAAAAATTTTAAAATTAGCCAGGTGTGGTGGCACGCCTGTAGTCCTAGCTGTGTGGGGTGCAGGTTGCCGAGGAGGAAGGATCACTTGAGCCTGGGAGGTCAAGGCTGCAGTGAGCCATGATCATGCCACTGTGCTCCAGCTGGGGTGACAGAGTGAGACCCTGTCTCAAAAAAAAAAAAAGTTAATATGTAAAGTGCACAGAACCCCGCCTGGCCTGTGGAAAGTGGCATATGGCATTAGCTGCCATTAGCAGCAGTGGCAGCAGCATCTTCAGGAGCAGCGTGAGAGGATGTGCATTTAGGCACCTGTGACCAGCCAAAAAAGAGGCGAAGTTGTTCTAAGTGAATCACCTGGTTAAAGGGAGAAGCCCTCTATTATAGAGTCCATAACCTTATAGAAACAACACAGAGGGAGCCTGGCGACTTAAGAAGACTCCACATATTAAATCATGAACTCCTGCCACGTAGGATGCAAAGGAAAGACAACCAATTTTTAAAAATGGACAAAAGACTTGAAGAGGCATTTCATAAAAGAGGCTGTCCAAATGGCAATAAACATATGAAGAGGTCCTCAACTTCATTAAACATCAGAAAAATGCAAATTAAAACTACAATGAGCCGGGCACAGTGGTTCATGCCTGTAATCCCAGCACTTTGGAAGGCTGAGGTGGGCGGATCACCTGGGGTCAGGAGTTCGAGAACAGTTTGGCCAACATGGTGAAACCCTGTCTCTACTAAAAATACAAAAAAATTAGCTGGGTGTGGTGGGTACACGCCTGTAATCCCAGCTCCTCAGGAGGCTGAGGTAGGAGAATCACTTGAACCCAGGAGGTAGAGGTTGCAGTGAGCCGAGATCGCACCACTGCACTCCAGCCTGGGCAACAGAGCGAGACTCTGTCTCAAAAAAAAAAAAAAAAAAAAAAGCTACAATGAGATACCACTCCACACCCACCAGAATGGCAATGATTGAAGAGATTAAAAATACCAACATTGGCAAGTACCAGAACTCTCACACACTTCTGTTGGGAGTGTAAATTAGCAAAAGCACTCTGGAAAACTGTTTGGCAATATCTGCTAAAGACGAACACACAAACACTCTGACCCAGCAATTCCATTGCTAGGTATACAATCAACAGATAGAATGTCACAACAGCATTATTTGTAACAGTCAACAATCTAGTAACCATCTGGTGTCTATTAACAGGAGAATGGACAATTATACATACAGTAGAGTTGTACACAGCAATGAAATGAATGAACAGCAGCCACAAAACAATGTGGATGGATCTCAAAGACAACATTGAATGGCAGAAGCCAGATACAAAAGAGAAAGTTTGTATGAAATTCCAAAACGGGGCCGCGCCTGTAATCCCAGCACTTTGGGAGGCCGAGACCGGTGGATCACTTGAGGTCAGGAGGTCGAGACCAGCCTGGCCAACATGGTGAAATCCCGCCTCTACTAAAAATACAAAAATTAGCTGGATGTGGTGGCAGGTGCCTGTAATCCCAGCTACTTGGGAGGCTGAGGCAGGAGAATTGCTTGAACCTGGGAGGCAGAGGTTGCAGTGAGCCAAAGACCATGCCATTGCACTCCAGCCTGGGCGAGAAGAGCAAAACTCCATCTCAAAAAAAAAGAAAAGAAAAGAAAAGAAAAGAAAAAAATAAATTCAAAAACGGGCAAAATAAACCTACTAGAATTTAGCTTAGGATGGTTATCCTCAGGTTGCGGGGGCTCCAGGAGAACTGGAAATGCTTTGTTTATTGAGCTGGGTACTGGTTACACAGGTGTATTCACTTTTTGAAAATTTATTGACTTGTCCGTTGTGATTTGTACACTTCTCGGTGTTCATGCAATGCTTCAATACAAACATAATATTCAAACAAACAGGGGTCCCAGTGGACCCTGCTCCCTGGTCATCCCCTTCCCATCCCTCAGCTCCTGTGGGATTCCCAGCTTACAGACCACAGCTACTGCTGCTGACAAACCAACCCAGAGGATCCACTCCAAATATCTCAATAAGAAGAGCTTCCCATTCCTCATCATCTGCCCCGGTATTAGCAAACAGCCAGAAACTTTGGAGACACATACACTCCTAGCTTCAGGAAGGAGACGACTTCCTCCAACAACATCCTCACCAAGTGGTTATCTATACTTGGAGCTTTGCACATCCCTAGTGGAAGGAGCTCACTGCCTCTGGAGGCAGCTCCCCTCTTCAGAAAGTTCCTCCTTACTTTTAGCTTCAGGTGACCCACGGGTACACTGGCTTGCCTGTCTTCTAAACCATTTTAAGTTTAACGAGTACTCACTTAAGAACAAAACAGAAAAAAGGAAAAACATTTACTCTCTGACCTGACATGTTTAAATATTAGTCTATTGCACTGGCATTTCAAAAACCAAAGCCACTTCAAACATGACAATTAAAAGCACAGGGGGTAACCAAACTGGAGCTTTGGTTAAGAGGTAAAGTTCTTTTTTACAGAATTTCCCCTAAAAAATTAGACATAATCAGGCATCGCCACTTTCACAACCCTAATGAAATACTCGACTCATGCAAGATTCTGAAAGGATGAAACCATTAGATGAGGATCTTTATAATAAGGAGATCGGACGGTTACCACCTGCCATGGTTAAAGGTGGGCAGCGTGGCCGGGCGCGGTGGCTCATACTTGGTATCTCAGCTCTTTGGGAGGCCGAGGCGGGCAGATCACAAGGTCAGGTGATCGAAACCATCCTGGCTAACACGGTGAAACCCCGTCTCTACTAAAAATACAAAAAATTAGCTGGGTGTGGCGGTGTGCGCCTGTAGTCCCAGCTACTCGGGAGGCTGAGGCAGGAGAATGGCGTGAACCTGGGAGGCGGAGCTTGCAGTGAGCTGAGATCGTGCCACTGCACTCCAGCCTGGGCGACAGAGAGAGACTCCGTCTCAAAAATAAATAAGTAAATTAATTAATTAAATAAAATTAAATTTAAAAAGGTAGGCAGCATGACACTGTGCACTCGTGGATGTAATGCACTGTGAAGTGTACCTCCATAGATTGGATGACGTTGGCCTTCTTTTTTTTATTTTTATTTTTTATTTGAGACAGGGTTTTGCTCTGTCATCCAGACTGGAGTGCAGTGGTGTGATTTCAGCTCATTGCAACCTCTGCCTCCCAGGTTCAAGTGATTCTTGTGCCTCAGCCACCAGAGTAGCTGGGATTACAGGCATGGGCCACCATGCCCAGCTAATTTTTGTATTTTTGGTAGAGATGGGGTTTCATCATATTGGCCAAGCTGGTCTTGAACTCCTGGCCTCAAGTGATCTGCCCATCTTGGCTTCCCAAAGTGCTGGGATTACAGGCATAAGCCACCATGCTCAGCCCAACCTTAGCCATCTGAACCTCATTCCCATCCCCCCCAAAAAACTGAAGCTAATAATGATGTTAGAGCAACTTGCAGTTTACAGGAAATATAGACAATGGAGAAATAATGTAAATGATCCAGGAGGCAGCCGACAGACAAATTCAGAATGTGAGACATTCCACAGAACTCATATACAATATGTCGGTGGCATAAAAAAGGGAGGTCTAATTGTGGAGGCGACATGGGTGTACACATTTAACAAAATTCATCAGAATGTACCCTTGAAATCTACTGTATGCAAATTTTCCTCCAGTTTTAAAAAAGAAGAAAAGAGGCTGGGTAAGGTGGCTTACGCCTGTAATCCCAGCACTTTGGGAGGCCAAGGTGGGCAAATCACTTGAGCTCAAGAGTTCAAGACCAGCCTGGGCAACAAGCCAAAACCCCATCTCTACAAAAAATACAAAATTAGCCAGGTGTGGTGGTGCGTGCCTGTGGTCCCCGCTATTTGGGAGGCTGAAGTGGGAGGATCATTTGAGCGCAAGGAGGTCAAGGCTGCAGTGAACTGCAATTGTGTCACTGCATTCCAGCCTGGGCAACAGAGTGAGACCCTGTCTCAAAAAAAAGGGGGAGAGATTTACCAACTGAATGAAATGTGTGGAACTTACAGGTATTCTAATTTCAATAAACCAGTCAAAAAAGACATTTTTGAAAGGACAATGGGGGCCGGGTGTGGTGGCTCACACCTGTAATCCCAGCACTTTGGGAGGCCGAGGCGGGCAGATCACCTGAGGTCAGGAGTTTGAGACCAGCCTGGCCAACATGGTGAAACCCCATCTCTACTAAAAATACAAAAAAATTAGCCAGGCATGGTGACAGGCGCCTCTAATCCCAGCTACTTGGGAGGCTGAGGCAGGAGAGTCACTTGAACCCGGGAGGCAGAGGTTGCAGTGAGCCAAGATCGTGCCACTGCACTCCAGCCTGGGCGACAGGAGCAAGACTCTATCTCCAAAAAAAAAAAAAAAAAAAAAAAAAAAGGACAATAGGAGAAAAATGTGTCTATGGACTGGGTACTATGTGAAAACAAGTTAACAACCTCATACACCAAGACCTGGACTCAGCCAGGTGGATTCATAGCCTGCATTCTTAACCCCCATGTTGTCTGATCAGATGCACCCTAAAACATTATCTCATGCAGAGAGAAGCTAATGCTACTGTTTTGGGCTTTAATCCACTGTAATGAACTTTCCTACCTCACCGTCATCTAGTGCTCACCTGCCTTGTGCAGTAATAAAGGCCAGACCCTGCCATTTGGACCTATACCTCTTCTGCAGTCCCTGCTACGTTTCCAGCAGAATTTCCTCCTGCATCCATTTCCTCTGCCTTAGCAACTGAACCCAGTCAAATTCACCTCCCTGAAGCCTTGCAGCTCCCCCACGGTGACCCTGCCACTTCCTAACTCAAAAGCCACTCCCCACCTAAATTCTTCAGTCTGAAATTCTTCCATTCTTCCCGGGCTATGTGATATTTAGCAAATGAACTTTCATCTCTGAGCTCCGGTCTTCTTACCTGTGAAGTGGGGCCAGTAACAGCATCTATCTCAGAGTTGTTGTGAAAATCAATTGAGATAATGTAAATCTTATTTATGTATTTATTTATTAGATGGAGTTTCGCTCTGTTGCCCAGGCTGTAGTGCAATGGTGTGATCTTGGCTCACTGCAACCTCCGCCTCCCGGGTTCAAGCCACTCTTCTGCCTCAGCCTCCCAAGTAGCTGAGATTACAGATGCCCCCCACCACACCCGGCTAATTTTTTTGTATTTTAGTAGAGATGGGGTTTCACCATGTTGGCCAGGCTGGTGTCAAACTCCTGACCTCAAGTGATCCACCTGCGTTGCCCTCCCAAGTTGCTGGGATTACAGGCGTGAGCTACCATGCCTGGTCTGGAAACTTCATCTTATGCTAAACCTTACCATGGTGCCTGGCACACAGTAGATACTGAATAACTTTCCATACCTTCCCTTTCACAATTGGCCACATCTCTCCCTCCTTCCTTTGCACGCATCCACCCACCCAGCCCTAGTGTCCCCTCAGTTTGGCTAGCTGGAGGCTGCCATTCCTGGGCCAGCAGGTGGTTCATGTTCTCTGCTGATGATATGACCCTTGGCATCCCCCTACTGCCTCCCCGAATCCAGACTCACCCCCTGTGAGTGCAGATACTCCACAGTTTTGCCAATGGTGTGCAGGACAAAGCTGGCCTCCCGCTCTGAGAAGAACTTCTGCCGCAGGATCTTGTCCAGCAGCTCCCCACCCCGCATCAGCTCTGTCACCAGGTACACGTGTTTGCCATCATCATACACCTGCCGAAGACCTCACCATCAGGCTCTTCTCCCCAGTGTCAGGCCTGAGCCCCCTGGTCAGCAGCGCCCCAGAGCAGGGAAGAATGACATGAGCCTTGGGCAGGTGTTCTGCTTGCTCTTCAGTGGTCCTGCCTTCCCCAAAAGGAGGATGCTGACACTGGTCTCCTGATACGCAAGAAGGTCCTCAGAAAATGTCTGAGTCTGAAGGAGGGCCCTTGGGGTATGGGCAGACTGAAGGGACCAAGGGACCTCCTTCCCCTCCACATGACCACTGGAAAGAGGATGAGAAGTCAAAGGAATGGCAATCCTGAGACAAATCCTGAGAGTTGAGTTCCTGGTCCCCACCCCAGTCTTAAGGACCCCCACTCACATCTTTCAGAGTGATGATGTTGGGGTGCTGGCCATACCGCAGAAGAATCTCAATCTCTTCTGAAGGATCCCGCTTGCTCTTATCAATGACCTGAAGAAAGGGGGTGCATGTGGCAGTGTCAGGGTGACAGGGTCCAGGGTCCTTTCTGGCCATGGAGCAGGCCAGGAGGTCTCGGCCACACACCTTTCATACATCTGCAGAGCTCAGGCACCATCCCTCCCCACCAGACGGGGACCTGCCCCCAACCCAGCAGCCTTGGCCGAGACGTGGTCAGGAGGCCCACCTTGACAGCATACTCCATGTTGGTGGCCTTGTGGACACAGCGCTTGCACTCAGAGTAGGAGCCCACACCAATTGTCTCCTTTACCACGTAGCCGTCACTAAAAACCAGGTTCTTCCCATGGAGTTGCTGTAGGAGACCAAAAATTGTGGCTGACCCCTGGCTCTAGAGTGCTAGGGGTCATCCCCCAGGACCTAAGGTCTTGGCTCAGTAGAGACAGCACCAGGGAAGGGCCAGGAGACTTGGGGTAGAGTGTTGGCCATGTGACCGCAGGTGACAGCCTGCCCCTCTCTGGGCCTCAGTTTTCTACTCTATATAATGGGCATACTCACTGGCTCCCAGCCTGCCTGGACTGCAGCCTGTGGTCAGAGGGCAGTGTAGGGAGTGGGAAACAGGGTCACAACACACATGGAGAGGACTTTAGTTCTGAAAAGTCTGGGCAGGCCTGGGAGGGACGCAGGAGCCCTGAGCTGAGTTCCAGCTGTGCCACTAAGTACGGCTTTGAGTGGCCTGCCTCCCTTTCTGGGGTGTCACAGCTCAACTCATGGGGTGTCTCAAGGTTCTGGGACATTAGCCGTAGCAATGCTGAATGGTGCTTAGTGTGTGCTGTGTGCCAGGCACTATTCTAAGCACTTTCATCAGGTGACTGCATGCCCCACGGCCAGCCCTGGCTTGCGCATGCGGTCCTTGCATCCAGTCTGATTTAATATTTGTCCTGGACTAAGATGTCCCAGTTTGGAAAATAAATTACATAGTCACCTTAACTTTATTTTTTATTTTATTTATTTATTTTTTGAGACAGAGTCTTACGCTGTTGCCCAGGCTGGAGTGCAGTGGTACGTTCTCAGCTCACTGCAACCTCTGCCTCCCAAGTAGCTGGGACTATAGGCACGCGCCAACACGCCCAGCTGATTTTTGTATTTTTAGAGACGGGGTTTCGCCATGTTGGCCAGATGGGTCTGTTTAAATTCCTGGCCTCAAGCAATCCACCCTTCTTGGCCTCCCAAAGTGCTGGGATTACAGGCATGAGCCACCGTGCCCAGCCCACATGAACTTTACATGTATTAACTCTAATAATCCTCATAACAGCTCTATGGAGGAAGCTTCTATCATTTCCCCCATTTACAGATGAGGAAACTGAGGCACGAGGAAGGGAGTATCTCATCCAAAGTCCATTATCTGGTCAGGTGCTCATGTCTGTAATCTCAGCACCTTGGGAGGCTGAGGTGGGCGGATCACTTGAGGTCAGGAGTTTGACACCAGCCTAGCCAACATGGTAAAACCCCGTCTCTACTAAAAATACAAAAAAAAAAAAAAAAAATTAGCTGGGTGTGGTGGTGTATATCTGTAGTCCCAGCTATTCGGGAGACTGAGGCAGGAGAATTTTTTGAACCTGGGAGGTGGAGGCTGTAGTGAGCTGAGATTGTGCCACTGCACTCCAGCCTGGGCAACAGAGCAAGACTACGTCTCAAAAACAAACAAACAAAAAACCCCAAAGTCCATTATCTTGTGAATCTGGAACCCATGCAATGAGCTCCACAGTCTACATTCTTGCCTCTCAACCTGAAACTTTCATTAGCAGTAGAAGTGTACAAATGGGGAACAAGTGTGATGAGATCCAAGTCCTTCGCTACACTTATGCCGGAGACACGACAGTCACTCGGCACCACCACCCTGGGCACCTCCTGACATGTACCCAGACCCTGGCTCTGTGCTGGGAAATGTACACCCATATCATCATCCAATTATCAGGGCCACTGTGTGAGGTGGGCCTTACTGTCCCTGTTTTATGTTGGAGGCCCTACTGGTCCCACAGTGGCATGAGGGTATGAACCTGGTTCTGTCCAACTCAGAGCCTGTGTACTCAGCCATTCTTTAGAAAAGGATAATGGAGCAGCAGCCCCCTGCCCCCCTCACCTGTACCACCGAGTGCAGGGGTGCCTGCGGGGCACGAGGCTTGCCGTCGTCTTCCATCAGGCCGGTGGCCACGAAGCTGAAGCCCCGGAACAGCTGATGGGCCCCAGCGCTGGGGGGGATGCCTGGGGAATCTGTACGGATGGAAGGAGAATGTGAGGGTACCTGAGGAGGTCCCCTCGACCCTGAGGCAGCCCAGCAAAGGGGGAGCACAGGGCCTCCAGACCTGCCTCAGGGGCTGGCCGTGGCGGGAGCCTGCAGAGGGCCTGTCCATCACAGGCCTTGGCCCAACTGCTCATATGTGTTTATTAGACCAGCCCAGTCCTGTCGCATGAGGAACAAAAAAGACTCTCACATCCACCTCCATCCCAGGCCAAGACAGTTCATCCCTTCCTGGATGCTTCCTCCCCAGCTTCCCCATCTTACGTCAGCCCCTTCAGGTCCATCTCTGCACAGCAGCCAGAGGGAAGGTTCCAACCACAAATCTGCCACCCTGCCCACACCTTTCAAAGGTTCCCGTCTGCCTTCAGGAGTAAGTCCAGCTCCTGAGTCTGGCAATTGAGGGCCCTGTGATCCTCACCTCCTCTCTCTCCATACCACAGCTGAGCCATGTTGGACTTCTCAGATCCTTAGAGGGGTCTCTGAGCCCTTGCACACACTGTTCCCTTTAACTAGATAATCCACTCCTTGCCTATCCTTCAAGACTCAACTCGCACGCTCCCTCCTCTGAGAAGCCTTGCCTGATGCTGCTCCTCCGGCCCCTGACTCCTACGAAGCTGCACTTGTCACGTTGCCCAGCGGACTGCTTGGAGAAGTGCTGTCTCTGTCATCAGAGGCGTGCAAGTGCAGTGAGAAAAGCACCCCCTTGTGGATCACCTGAGGTCAGGAGTTCGAGACCAGCCTGGCCAACATGGTGAAACCCCGTCTCTACTAAAAATACAAAAATTAGCCAGGCGTGCTGACACATGCCTGTAATCCCAGCTACTCGGGAGGCTGAGGCAGGAGAATCTCTTGAACCCAGGAGGTGGAGGTTGCAGTAAGCTGAGATCACGCCATTGCATTCCAGCCTGGGCAACAGAGCGAGACTCCATCTTGAAAAGAGGAGAGGAGAGGGAAGGGAAGGAGAGGGAAGGGGAGGGGAGGGGAGGGGAGGGGAGGGGAGGAGAGGGGAGGGGAGGAGAGGAGAGAAGAAAAGCACACCCTCTCCTAAAACATGCCCTTATAGGAGGTTTCCCAGAACATTCCACCCCACACCCACTGTCAATATCTGGCCAAAAAGTTAGGATTCACCAGGTTCCTTCCCAGAAGCTCCCTCACTGGCTTCTTGTAGCAACCCCAGGGAATGAGTGGGTTTGTGGCTGTGCCCTTGTTCCAGATAAGTACACGGAGGCCGGGCAGTCAGGGCAGCCAAAGCTGATTCCCATGCCTGTCCCTGACCTATGGGCACTGTCACCTCTGCTCAGCCACCACACAGTGTGGCTGGGTCAGATTCTTTCTCCCTGACGTGATGGTAAGCCTGATGTGTTTGGTCTTCCCAGTGGGCTGGAAGGTGCCCCGGGCAGGGGTCCTGGCTTTTCTACTGTGGCCTTCACCACCCACACATCCCCACTCCCACTCTCTCACCAGACACAAAGAGACCCACAGAGCCCCATAGTGAGAGAGTCGGGCGGAGTGAGACAGGGACAAAGTCAGTCCCACGGAGCCAGAAACTCACCCGCCTGCCCACCCGCATACCTCGGCCTGTCAGTGTCCCTGACTATCTCTGCCCCCCAAGCTGCCACCGACTCCCGGCTTCCCTCCTGTACCAGCCCAAGACAGACAAAACAGATAAGGGACGCACCCTTGGGTGTGCGGGACGTGAACTCGGTGTCAAAGTAGAAGGTGTCATCAGGCTGAGCCACTGCTGGCTTGAAGGGTGGCTTGATCTCACGACGGTATAGCTTCTGCACAGTGGGGTGGGCACTCTGGTCACCATGGCATCCTCAACAGCCCACCAGGAGCCCCATGCAGGAGGAGGTGCTGGGCTTGGAACATAGGCCATATTGCCCAGCTCTCGGAATTGCTTGCCCTCAGGAGGCCAGCCCTTGTCTTCAAGGGCAGGCTGTGACCCTCTGCTCCTGCGTCTGGGGCCCTCGCTGGCAGAGGCTCCCCTCCCACCACCCTTCCTGTGGCCAAGATGGCTGAGCCCTGGCCAGAGCCCTGGTGTGGGTGGACACACTCACATTCCAGTCAATGGTGGAGTAGAAGACATGCCGCTTGATTTCCTCTGCCCCATCAGGGCCGGAGCCTGAAAGAGCCCAAATGAAGGGTCTGTCCCTGGCTGGCACAAGTCCCAGATATTACCCTGCCCACCAAGCAGCCTCACAGGGCTCTGGGACCAGCTGCTGGAGCAGAGGGGAAAATGGGCTCACTCAGCCTCAAATCTACCCAGCCATCACCCTAAGGCCTGTCACCTACTCAGCATTTTCCACTTTCTGGAGCTTCTGATGAAGAAATTCCAATGTACCAGTGGGAGGAGGAAGGCCCAGAGACTTTAGGCAACTTCTCCAAGGCCACACAGTTAGAACAGAAGCTGAGCTTGTTCTGAGACCTACAGAGAGCCCCACCTCATTCCAAGGCAAGCCTCATCTCTGTTCCTCTTATCCCATTGACCTTTTCAACCATAGGACAGGCTGTTACTCCATTCGACCCCAGGGGCCTTGACTGGACCTTACACAGCTGGTCATGGACCAGATGAACCCAGGAGCCAGGGAAGCCAGCACACACTGGACACCTACTACATGCCGGCATGTTCACACAACCTCATTTCATCAACAGAGCCCTGAAGCAAGCTTGGGATCATCATCTCCCATTGAGACGAGGAACCTGCGGTGCAGAGAGGTGAAGTCACCTGCCTGGGGTCACTTAGTTCATAAGTGGCCTCATTCGTTTAACAAATATTTATAGAGGGACTGTTTTGTGCCAGGCAGTGGGGACCTGACACAGAGCCGGGATTGGGACCTATGCCTTCTGACTCCTGAGCTCATGCTATTTCTCTTGTGCCAGCAGCCTTGGCGGAGAAGCTGTGTGGGGGCCTCTGTCCTTGTCCCCAGAGGGAGTAGGGATGACTCAGTTCCTGCCTTCCCCCTACACACAGGTCAACTCCCCCCTCCACAACACCACACATGGAGCCAGAAAGCAGGGTGGCCCGCGGCATTGTCTGCCCACACAAAGGACAACGGCCCCTTTCAGCCCAGATGTGGCCCTGTGGCCTAGGCTGCAGCTGTACCCGGCTCCCCATCGCCACATCCCCTCCCCTGAGCTGGGGCTGCTTACCGAGCCGGTTGGCAGGATTCCGCTTGAACAGGGCCCGCAAGAGGCTCTGGGCTTCAGTGCTCAGAAACTGGGGCATGCCTAGCTTCGCCCTGAAACAGCCCCCGGGACTCATCAAGGCTGAGCCCTGCCCCAGAGGCCCCATCTCCCCCGGCCCCTGTCCAGATCTAGTTCCCAGCTCAGTCTAGACAAGCCATCCACTAATTCACTTCCCAAAGGCTTCAGGGATCCTACCCACAGGCCCCCAGGGATGAAAGAGGGGCTCTGGAAGGTATAATGTTTAACCCAGAGGAGAGTCTCATTAGAGAGGGTAGCTGAGGCAGGGACAGGGTAATAATATTCTGACCCCCAAACTGGGGCTGGGGCTTGGAGGAGTCCATTGTTATCAGGGCAGGGCTGGGGCTTACTTCAGAATCAGTGTCATGGTCTCCTTCCGGTCCTTCCCCTGGAAGGGCAGGGAGCCCGTCAGCATCTCAAACTGCAGAGGACAAGGATCTATTCAGGCTCTGATCCCTGTCTCCGACACACCTCCCGCCTCCTCCCAGTCAGACCCCTCTGCCCCAGTCCCAGGATTCTTGCTGATACATCCAAGTCAGCCTGGAGCAAGAATTATGCCCGTCCCTCTTGCCTCTGCCAACCAGACCACCAGGAGCAGCGGTGGGGGCGCGAGGCTGGGGAGAAGGCCAGCACTGGGTTAGGCGCGTCCCAGGTGGGGTCAAGCCTGGGATCCTTCCAAGGAAGAAAACTGCAGGTGCATATAGGGTGAGGCCAGCTTGGCTGTGAGAGGAGACGGGGAGAGCCCTAGAAATGATCAACCCCCTCACTGTACAGATAGGGAGACTGAGGCCAGAGGCTTGGGCTGGATCCTTTACCCCTGTCTGGGCACTCACCATCAACACCCCATAGGACCACCAGTCCGCACTATGGGAGTGGCCCTGGCGGTTGACGACCTCAGGGGCCATGTACTCCACTGTCCCGCAGAAAGAATAGGCCTTCTTCTCGTGGTCAATGGCCTCTTTGCTCAGGCCAAAGTCTACAGCAAGGAGGGCAGGAGGACACACCTTAGGACCCCTGCCTTCCTTGCTGCCACCCTTTGCACACCCAACCCCCGTGCCCAGAGGCCAGAAGGCATCACCCCCATGACACTCAGGAGGAAGCTAAGGCCCAGAGAGGTCAGGTGACTTGCTCAACGTTACACAATGAGGGGCTGGGATTCCAGCTGAGGGTGTTCCAAGTCTGAGGCCTGAGTTTTTGACCACTTCCAAGTAACTGGCACGGCTTCTCGGGAAGAATGAGCCCCCAG
Source organism: Homo sapiens (assembly GCF_000001405.40). Lineage (NCBI taxonomy): Eukaryota > Metazoa > Chordata > Mammalia > Primates > Hominidae > Homo > Homo sapiens. Next base: position 41,943 of record NW_009646195.1, on the reverse strand, counting down.
CACTCAGCCGAGACCTATCATGACCTTGTCCTGTCCTCCCCTGGGTCCCGAGGGGGCAGGCGCCCTCCACTCACCAGTGAGTTTGATGTGGCCCTCCTCATCCAGAAGGATGCTGTAATAGAGAAATAGTGGTCAGGGCCCCTCAGCTGTGGCCGTGTGGGTGATGGTGTTACCACAGGGCTGTGGGAGTTGGGTTCAGCCCAGAGGAGGTGCTCCACCCAATTCTCTCTGATGACTGGGCGGGTGTTGCAGGGTGGTAGCAGTACCACGCAGGGGTGTTGCCTATCTTTTTTGCTAATCCTTGAAGCAACTGTGTGAGGCAAGTACTATTAGGGCCCCGTTTTGCTAATGGGAAAACTAAGGCTCAGGGCAGTTAAGTAGCTCTACAGTCATTGAGCTAGTAAGTCTAGCTAGTAGGTGGAGACAGGATTTGAATACAGGGCTGCCTAACACTAAAGCCAGATCTTATTCCAACTCACCACCTGCCCCTGGCTCCTTAGTTATCATTTGAGGGTAGTTAGATATTAGGGAAAATTCTATAGGGCTTTATCAAGGAAAGACCTCTAAAGGTGGCATCTCAAATGTCACACTAGATTAGCAAAAAAAGACGGGCAACATTACCTGCATGCAAAGTACCTGGCCCTTGGTAATGGTAGCATTAGTGACTGGGCAGCTGGCACTACCACCCACCCCACTCACCCATCCCTCAGATTGCCCAAGAGAGGGAGACGTTTCTGGAGAAAGCCATGCCCACCCACCTCAGGATGGCCCTGTCCTAGAAGAGGCCTCCCCTGGGGAGGCTGGGGTGGGGCTGGAGGCTTCACTCACTTCTCAGGCTTGAGGTCTCTGTAAATGATACCCAGGCTGTGCAGGTGATCCAGGCCCAGAGCCAGCTCAGCCAGGTAAAACTTCACATCCTCCTCCGTGAACATCACCTGCAAAAGACAGGAGGGGCCTTCAGCAGGGACCTCCTCTTCCTTAAGAGCTGGGGCACTGGGCAGTCAGCAGCTTCCTGGTCCTGAAGAGCCACCCTGGGAGGACCCTTGGAAACCCCAGGCCATATAGCCTTCTCATCATACAAAGGATTTGAAGTATGAAATGACTAATACGCAAGCCACTCATTGTGGCACCATTCAGAAATAGAAGGGGTGGGAAACAGGCCTAGGGTCCAAGAGTAGAAGGCTGGAATCAGCCCTCTCCCCTGCATAATGGAGTGCTTTGCAGCCATGAACTGGAACAAGGAGTTTCTCCGTGTTCTGACATGGAGTGAGCTCCAAGATATACTATCTTGAAAAAAGCAAGGTACAGAACAGTGTATACAGAATAGTACTTTTTACATAAGGAAATGGGGGTAGGAATGAACATATATCGGATTTGTTTGCAAAAGAAACATGGGAAAGTTAAACAAGAAACCAATAAAAATGTTTACCTATAGATGGGAATAGAGGGGGCTGGGGTGGGAGGAAGACTTCTTCATGAATATTTTTCTTTTGAATCATGTATATTACCTATTCAAACATTAAAATCACAATTTAAGCCGGGCACGGTGGCTCACACCTATAATCCCAGCCAGCAGTTTGGGAGGCTGAGGCAGGCGGATCACCCGAGGTCAGGAGTTCGAGACCAGCCTGGCCAACATGGAGAAACCCTGTCTCTACCAAAAATACAAAAATTAACCAGGCGTGGTGGCGTGCACCTGTCATCCCAGCTACTCGGGAGGCTGAGGCAGGAGAATTGCTTGAACCCGGGAGGCGGAGGTTGCAGTGAGCTGAGACCCCACCAGTGCACTCCAGCCTGGGTGACAAGAGCAAAACTCCATCTGAAAAAAAAAAAAAAATTACAATTAAAAAAAAAAAAAGCTAGATTCTCTTTAAAGTTTGAATTGTACGAATGGTCCCATTTTCTAGCTCAAATCCTTTTTTTTTTTTTTTTTTTTTTTGAGACAGAGTCTCGCTCTGTTGCCAAGCTGGAGTGCAGTGGCGCGATCTTGGCTCACTGCAACCTCTGCCTCCTGGGTTCAAGCGATTCTTGTGCCTCCGCTTCCTGAGTAGCTGGGATTACAGGCACACTCCACCATACCCAGCTAATTTTTGTATTTTTAGTAGAGACGGGGTTTCACCATGTTGGGCAGGATGGTCTTGATCTCCTGACCTCCTGATCTGCCCACCTCGGCCTCCCAAAGTGCTGGGATAACAGGCGTGAGCCGCTGCGCCCAGCCTCAAATCCTTTTATATTGGTTCAAAATCCTTTTGGATGACATACGCAAGATGACTGCTAAAGTCTCTGGCTCTCTGGGTGACTTTGGGCTTCTCCCCTATCTTCACACCTCTGCCCAGAGCAGCCCTGGAAGAAGGCAGGTGCAGAGGTGAGAGGAACCCTTAGCTCCCTGGAGTTTCCTTGGGAGAAACTCTCAGAGACCTTGCCAGCGTATGGCCTCCATTCCAGGGTGCGTGGTATTTCCTGGGCCAGGGGCTGCTAGGCAGGCCTGGGTGGTTCCAGGTTCAAGCCATACCAAACACATTCTGTACAGGGCCCTGGGATGGGAGGACTTGTCGTCCCTCAGCTCCATCCCGGGGCCCTCTGGCAGTAGATGTCAGCTCACCTCTTTTGAGAGCCGGGTGAAGAGGTCCCCACCACGCAGGAAGTCCAGAATGAGATAGAGCTTGCCCTCGGTCTGGAAGGCTGGGAAGAGGGAGAAAGGCAATGGTAGAGTCGGCGCGGCCTTATGATCTGCTTCTCCGGCCCTGGCTCCCTTGGCCTGCCAGGCAGGCGGTGGGACAGTGTACAGACCACAGGCAAGGGCGAAGGATGGGTGGGGTAGGAGCTCAGGCAGGGCCAGAAGCTTTACCATAGTGCAGCTTCACCACGAATGGGTGATTTACATCAGCCAGGATGTCTCTCTCCATCTTGGTCCGGACGCGGTCACGTACTGGCCAGACGAGAAAGGAAGTCACCAGTAGCCTAGACACTCAACACAGCCACTCCCAAGCCCCCGCTAAGGGATCTCTTTTCCACTTGTTCCTCCAGGCCTGAGCTCCCAAAGCCCCCTCACCCAGGGCTTTGGGGACACTCAATCCTCAGGTTTCCTCCTTGCCAGTCTGTTTCTGGCTCCTTGGCTGGCTCCTTGTCCCCACCCCTCACAGCAGTGCCCACAGCTGGGGCCTTGGCACCCTGCCCATCTCTCTGGTCCCTTTTCCCACCAGACCCCATCAAGACCTGTTAATCAGCCAGTCTGAGCAACCTGCTCCCCCAGGGTTCTCTGCTTTGTCAGATCCTCAGACTTTGCCTCTGCACCTCCCCCTGGCATGCCTTCACCAGCTCTGCTTTCCATCTGGCATAAAAATTCCCAAATTCTGGTCTCGGGGCTGGTAAGAACGGCTACCTGGTGAGCTGGATCCCTGGGCCTAAAATCCCGATCTATGGGTCTGGGTGGGCACCCTTCATATTATTTATTTATTTTTTTAAATAATACAAGTTATTGGGCAGTTCTGATTCTCAGCAGGTTCTTTGACTCAGCTTAGGCCTCACCTTCTCCAGGAAGCGCTCCTTAATTTGCCAAGCTGGGTTAGGGCCTTCTGGATTCCTACAGTGCTTGTGCTTCTCCTTTGGAGCACTTTTCTCTTTTTCAGGTTGCCTTCTAAATTTATTGAAGCCCACCAAGTATCATGTTTTATTGATTTCACTAGTCTGATTAGAACAGGCTTTTGGGCCGGGCACAGTGGCTCATGCCTGTAATCCCAGCACTTTGGGAGGCTGAGGCAGGAGGATCACTTGAGGTCAGGAGTTCGAGACTAGCCTGGCCAACATGGTGAAACCCTGTCTCTATTAAAAATACAAAAATTGGGACCAGGCGTGGTGGCTCACACCTCTAATCCCAGCACTTTGGGAGGCCGAGGCAGGCAGATCATGAGGTCAGGAGATCGAGACCATCCTGGCCAACATGGTGAAACCCTGTCTCTAGTAAAAAATACAAAAAATTAGCCAGCCTGGTGGCACGTGCCTGTAATCCCAGCTACTCAGGAGGCTGAGGCAGGGGAATCGCTTGAACCCAGGAGGCGGAGGTTGCAGTGAGCCGAGATCACGCCACTGCACTCCAGCCTGGTGACAGAGTGAGACTCTGCCTCAAAAAAAAAAAAAAAAAAAAATTGGCCAGGCGTGGTGGCTCATGCCTGTAATACTAGCACTTTGGGAGGCTGAGGAAGGCGGATCACCTGAAGTCAGGAGTTTGAGACCAGCCTGACCAACATGGAGAAACCCTGTCTCTACTAAAAATACAAAATTAGCTAGGCGTGGTGGCGTGGGCCTGTAATCCCAGTTACTCGTGAGGCCGAGGCAGGAGAATCACTTGAACCCGGGAGGCAGAGGTTGTGATGAGCCGAGATTGCACCATTGCACTCCAGTCTGGGCAACGAGAGTGAAACTCCGTCTCAAAAAAGAAAAAAATATATATACAAAAATTAGCCAGGCGTGGTGGCATGTGCCTGTAATCCCAGCTACTCAGGAGGCTGAGGCAGGAGAATTGCCTGAACCTGCGGAGCGGAGGTTGCAGTGAGCCGAGATCACACCACTGCCCTCCAGTCTGAGCGATAGAGTGAGACTCCATCTCGGGAAAGAAAAAAAAAAAAAAAAAAAAAAGAACAGGCTTTTGGACATGGCTGCCTAGGTTCATTTTGGGCAGTGTGTTTCAACTAAGTTTATCACAATATTGATTACCCCTTGACTGAGACCTCTCATGTGTCCTTTGACTTTTTTTTAATGGGACAGGGTCTCACTCTGTCACCCAAGCTGGAGTGCAGTGGTGTGATCTTGGCTCACTGCAACCTTTGCCTCCCAGGTTCAAGCGATTCTAGTGCCTCAGCCTCCTGAGTAGCTGGGATTACAGACACACCAAACCTGGCTCATTTTTTTTGTATTTTTAGTAGAGACAGGGTTTCACCATGTTGGCCAGGCTGGTCTTGAGCTCCTGACCTCAAATGATCCACCCACCTTGGCCTCCCAAAGTGCTGGGATTACAGGCATGAGCCACCGCACCCAGCCTTGACTTTTATTAAAAGGAGAGGTGGAAGGCTAGGGAGTGCTTACTAAGACCAGACAAAATGTCTGAGCAATACACACAATGCAAAACTAAAGGCTTTTTTGGTCCATGTACTGGATTGGCAGTTTCCTCTCCAGCCTCATAGTCCCAAAGCCTTCACTAGTCCATCCATCTAGTATGAATTCTATTCATTCGTCACTGCCATTCCAGAATTGATGCTCACAGCTGCTTATCTTAGGAGATCTGGCCAATGTACTCCTCCTGCATGTCTTTCCGGAGTCTTGTTCAGGACACAATCCTTGGCCCTTGCTACAAGTAGAAGCTGCAGCTGCCTTCCAACACACCTTCTATGTCAGCACACAGGGCTGCAGGAGCTGGTCCCCTTCTTCTGTTTTAATTTTTGTGTTTTCCTCATTAGACATGACAAGGACCACACCGGAGTTAACTATTTTGGTCACCTTACATTTTCTTTTTTCTTTTTTTTTTTTTCTGAGATGGAGTTTCGCTCTCATCGCCCAGGCTGGAGTATGGTGGCGCGATCTCGGCTCACTGCAATCTCCACCTCCTGGGTTCAAGCAATTCTTGTGCCTCAACCTCCTGAGTAGCTGGGACTATAGGTGTGCATACCAGCATACCCAGATAATTTTTGTATTTTAGTAGAGATGGGGTTTTCCCATGTTGGCCAGGCTGGTCTCGAACTCTTGACCTCAAGTGATCCACTCGCCTCAGCTTTCCAAAGTGCTAGGATTACAGGTATGAGCCACAGCACCCAGCTTACCTTACATTTTCAAACCACCTCTACACTTTAGTTCAGGCAAACAGTTTCTCCTTCCCAGGGTCCCCTTCCTCAAACATTTTTGGTCTAGAGAAATCCACTCATCCTCCAAGGCTTCCCGCTCCTTAGGTGTCCCCTTGGCCTCTGGGCCCACCCTCTACAAGACTACACCACCACTCCCAGCTCCCCAGCGCGTCGGATATCCACGCACACCAGTCACAGCACCGGCTGCACCACACTGTCGGGTATGCTTAGCCTCTCCTGCCCAGCCTGTGAGCCCTTCACAGCAGGGACCCAGGCTTTTCATCTTTCTCCTCCCTCTGAAGCTGCCACCATACCTCCTGGGGGATGACTTCCACACCCACCAGGCTGGCCTTAGGATACCAAAGCCACCCATAACGTCCTTAAGGCTGACGCCTCCTACTGCCCCCACTACCTCCCCAGCTAGGATTTGGCTCTGACTGGGATCAGAGGTGCACACCACCACACCCAGCTCATTTCTTTGTATTTTTAGTAGAGACGGGGTTTCAACATGTTGGTCAGGTCTTGAACTCCTGACCTCAAATGACCCGCCCACCTCAGCCTCCCAAAGTGCTGGGATTACAGGTGTGAGCCACCGCGCCCGGCCTTGACTTATTTAAAGAGAGACTTGGCTATGACTCTGCCGGGTCAGTGGTCACACTGGTTCCCAGGCCAAGTGGTCAGTATCCAACCCAAAGCCCACTACCAACCATCTTCACACCCTTTGTAAGTCCCCAGAACTCTAACCTTGGCTCGGGGCTCCCTTCTGAACCTCTCTGCCATCCAGCTCTGTGGCCCTGCCTGGACTCACCCTCTCTTGCCTAGCCCAGCTGCCTCCCTGGGCTCCCTGCCTCTTCACTCACGCCCTTCTCTCAGGCCCCTGAGTTAGGGGCCACAGAGGTCTCCCCCAGACTCTTCTAGCATCAACAGTCAGAATGCCTCTGCTTGACCAGCTTGGTAGTTGAGGGCCCCGCCCCCTGACAAACACATTGCATTTACCCTATTACCACCTTCCAGACCTTCACAGCCAGTCACTAGCACTTGGCTTAGGGGGAGGAGGATTGGCTGGCGAGGGATAGCTGAGAAATAGGCCTGTTTCTCCACCTTTGAACTAGGTGCTCCTGAAGACAGAGCTGTCTCCCTTGCCAGACCCAAGGCCCTTGAAGTCTGGGCTGCCTCCCTCAGCCAAGCCTGGGTTCTGCACAGGGAGGTGTCCCCACTCACCTTTCAGCGTTGCCTTCTTCAGCACCTTCATAGCATACAGGTGCCCACTGTCAGGCCGGGTGACTTTCCGCACCAGGAAGACCTGAGAAGGCAGAGCAGGAAGCAGGGCAGAAGATGGGAGAGGTCTGAGTCCAGGCTGACCTCTATCTTCTCTGAGCCCCAAGCTGACCTTTTTGCTCTCCCTGGGTACCAAGGTGACCTCTGATCCTTTGGGCCCCTAGGTGACCCTTGACCCCCACCTCTAACATGACGAGTGTTGCCTTCACAGCTATGGGCTCATGACTCACTTTGCCAAAGGATCCCTGGCCCAGAACCTTGAGGAGCTCGAAATGGGATGGATCAGCCTTCTCAGAGCCAGCCTTGACGTGGTGCGTGATGGAGATCTCCTTGAGGACGCCCTCATCCTGATGGAGGGACAGAGCTGGTGGGCATGGTGGGCCCCATCCAGGCAGCAGGAGGCTCCCCTGCCCAAGTCCATTCCCACCAGACCACAGCAGATGGAACCTAAAGGCCCAATAGACGACTTCCCTGAAGGGCTAGCCTCCAGGGTCATCGATTTCAAAAGAGCCTCAAAGTCTGGGGAGGTCAAACCAGAACAGGCACCGCTCCTATTGCTCACGATGCTCTGGCCTGGTTAGGCCCAAAGGGATGCCCAGGCATGGCCAGGCTGAGTCAACCCCAGGCTCTGGCTGAGACCCAGAGACCTGCCCCAGGTCCGCCCGTGGGGCTTCCCTCCCCCTGTTGTTTTAGTGTTGCCACAATAGGAAGTAGGCTTGTTCTCATATGGGGAGGTAGAGCTGGGCCTTCGTTCCTGGTCAGGATGGGATGAGGGGATCCCTCTGGTCAGCAGGACAGGGCTGACGTGCACAAAGACCCAAGAGTCACCCAAACTCCCCCATCAACTAGGTAAGTGCTGGCCTGGGGCAGGTCAGAGTTAAGGCCAAAGACTGCATGGCTCAACTTCCCAAACTTCCCTCATACAAACCTACTGGAAGCCCCTTGCCAGGTCCTAGCCTTTCCAGGACTCTACCCTCCCTCCAATCTGCTGCCATTGCCTTGAAGCCCTGAAGTGCCTCCTCACTTCCCCAGGAAGCAAGTCTGGGCAGGGTCCAGTCACCCTGCAGGGCCAGGCCTGGGCCAGGACAGCCCAAAGCCAGCTTATGTTAAGCTGGCTTCCCAGGCACCTGCTGCAAGGGACACAGCCAGGTCAGGACCAGACATTCGGGCACACTCACCGAGTCCCGCTGGGGGCCAGAGCCAGGGCCAGGGACAGGCAGAGAGGTCTGGCTGATCCTGGGCCGCTGCTTCCTGGGAAGCCAGGGGATCAGGGCCCAGAGCCGCAGACGGGGCGGCTTGGGATCCTGCTCCATCCGCCCAGCAGGGCCACGGCACCATGGCAGGAGCAGGCAGAGTCCGGGGCTGCCGCAGTGGTGGCCGGGACCAAGGCGGATGTGCAGGGTAAGGGCGGGGGCTGGGCCTGGCCCAGGGCAGCCAATCACTCAGGGCCTGTGGTTTCCCAGCACCAGGCCTACACCCTCACCACGTTCCCTTCCTCTCTCTCCCCCTCTCCTCAGAGCCTGAGGGCTGCCCTCTGGCCGTTCCCCCATCCTCCCTGTGGGCCTACAAAGGGAAAGTCCCCTGCCAATGCAGCTGCTGAGCAGACTGGTACCCAACAGCAGAGAGGTACCCAATAGCAAACAGGTACCCAACAGACAAAGACAGGTGCCTGATATGTGGAGGCAGACGAAGAGAGACACCCAACAGGCAGAAGCAGGCACCCAACAGGTGGAAACAGGTAAGAATGGCATCCATCATGCCTGTAATCCCAGCACTTTGGGAGGCTGAGGCGGGCGGATCATGAGGTCAGGAGATCGAGACGATCCTGGTTAACATGATGAAACCCTGTCTCTACTAAAAATACAAAAAAAAAAAAAATTGGCCAGGCGTGGTGGTCAGCTCCTGTAGTCCCAGCTATTCGGGAGCTGAGGCAGGAGAATGGCATGAACCTGGAAGGCGGAGCTTGCAGTGAGCCGAGATAGCGCCACTGCACTCCAGCCTGGGTGGCAGAGCAAGACTCCATCTCAAAAAAAAAGAAAAAGAAAAAGAAAGAATGGCATCCAACAGGCAGGGGCAGGAGAGAACACATACCCAACAGGCAGGGATGGAGGATAAGGACACGCACCCAACAGGCAGAGGCAGGAGGAATTCATATCCAATAGAAAACAGATGGAGACACGTACCTGACAAGGGGAAGCAGGAGGGGACTCATATCTAACAGACAGAGGTGGACAGAGACTCATCCCCAATGTGTGTAGGCAGATAGGGACACAAGCCCAACAGCCAGAGACAGATGGGGACATATACCCAATAGGTAAAGACAGATGGGGACATGTACCCAACAGGCAAAGGCAGGAGGAACACATCTCCAATAGGCAGAGACAGAAGAGAATACCAACCCAACAGGCAATGACAGAAGGGGACATAAACCCAACAGGCAGGCTGGGCGTGGTGGCTCACGCCTGTAATCCCAGCACTTTGGGAGGCCGAGGCAGGTGGATCACGAGGTTAGGAGATCGAGACCATCCTGGCTAACACGGTGAAACCCCGTCTCTACTAAAAATACAAAAAATTAGCTGGGCGTGGTGGTGGGCACCTGTAATCCCAGATACTTGGGAAGCTGAGGCAGGAGAATGGCTTGAACCTGGGAGGGGGAGGCTGCAGTGAGCCAAGATCGCACCACCGCACTCCAGCCTGGGCGACAAAGTGAGACTCCGTTTCAAAAAAAAAACCAACAGGCAATGACAGAAGGGGACATGTATCCAAAAGGCAGAGACAGATGGTGACACAAACCCAACAGGCAAAGACAGAAGGGGACAGGTATCCAACAGGCAGAGACAGATGAAGACATAAACCCAACAGGCAGAGACAGAAGGGGACATGAACAACAGGCACCTAACATGTGACATGTACCCAAAAGGTGAAGTCAGGCACTTATCAAGTGGAGACAGAGATTGGAACCCAACCACAGACAGAGGTAGGCAGCAAAGAGAGACAGCGGGAGAGTCAGCGAGCCCCAAGCAGACTGACAATACCTAGGGCAGATAGGTCTGACACCTGGCAGACACACGGGCAGGCAGCAGGGCAGGGATCCCCAGGAAGGGGTTAAGGGCAGAGCTGTGGGTTCTTGCTGCTGTACCTGGGGTGGGGAAAGAGATGAGGGGAGACAATCTGCAAACTCCCACCACTCAGGAGAGGACTCTCGTATTTCTTGCAGACCCACCTCTGAGATCTCCCATTTCCCTAGGATTTTCCTCCTATGCCAAGACCTGAGGGGGACCCAGACAGTAGCTGAGAGGACTATCTCCTGAGTGCAATCTGATGTCTTTGACTCTGATCATATCCTAAAAACTGTTATCCTCATTCCAGGAATAGGAAACTGAGGCCCAGAAGACAGTGACTCACCAAGGCTCAAAGCAAACAGTGGCAGAGGTAGCTTGGACCCAGGCGCCTCCCTGCTTACTGCCTGGCCTGGGGTCAGCAGGCATCAAATGCCAGGAAAGTGTGGGCAGGTCAATCAGCCAGAGCCACGTCCTGCCCACCCACATCTGCCTAAAACCCCTTCTCCTTCAGTACTAGGGTCCGTCTGTGACCTCCCACTGTAGGTCCTGGCCCTCGGAGACACAATCTTATCTTCAGGGGAAGATACCTAACCCTTCCTGACAGATGGAGGAGTGGGTGGAACAGCCCCACAAAAACACCACAAAACTGCAGTCAAATCAGACCCCTGAGTGTAACCTCCTGGCGGGACAGGCAGAAAGCCTGGCTCAAAGAGGGACTAAGAGGGGGCCAAGCCCACATGGCAATACCTGCACACCCCACCCTGAGATCTGAACCTCCACCTCACCTGTCTGCCTCTGACTGAGAGCACTCCCTGGGGACAGAGACAGGAAACCACCCAGAAATCCCAAGGGACAGAGCCACCCCCAAACCCATTCCTTGCCCAGTCATGGTGACAGACACCGCTGGAGGCAGGCGACTCTTCTGCTCACCTTTCTGGGACAGGGAACCAAGTCTCTCTCAACCCTGGGGAAATCTGCTGGGGTCTGCATGGTGGGGCTCAAGCCGGTGACCAGAGGGCCCCGTTACTCTTCCTACTTCTGCTTTTTTTAGCCTTCCTGGCCCAGAAGGCAGGGTCTCTGGCCCCCCTCCTTCTCACTTCCCCCTCTGCAGGGAGGAGGGGCAGATGATGGGTCAGGCTCCTCTATAGAGGAGGGGACACTGCAGACCCCAAGCCCATGACCCCAGGGAAGGCCCAGGGGCACACCTCTCCCTATGTCCTCTGACTCTAAGGAGGAGAGACAAGAGCAGAGACAAAAGTCACAAGGCGATAACGCAGTGTCACAGTGGGCATATCAGCACCCGCAAACATCCACGTGAGGGGAGGACCTGAGAGAATGTGGGGCAAAAGTCAGCAAAGGCCACTGTCCGACTGTCCAGTCCAGAGCTTAGATACTGTGTCCCACCCCTCCATAGCATCCTTCCCATGGCTATGCCCACCCACAATGGCAGCCCAGAAAGCAGGCACCAGTGGCCCCCCTCCGGTCCTGCCCTGCTCAGCTGCCCCGAAGAAGGCTGCCAGTCCCAAGCCCCAGGATGGGTAAGGCGGGCAGAAAGCCTGACCAAGGACCTCACAGAGGTCTGAGAGGAGGAGCAGGCAGCTATGGGGCAGGGGTTGACCAGGCCCAGCCCCTTTCTACGTGGCCTCATTTCATCACTCATACCAGCACAGCACAGGCACTGACATGCACACACACACACTCAGGCCGATGATCGGAAACCCTGTCCGCAGACAACCCCTATGCAGAAACACATGCCCCCACGCACACACGGACTTCCCCTTCCCTGTCCTTGCAGAGTCTCTGCGGGTGGATGGCTGCCGGGAGATTGTGAAAGATGCCTCCCTCAGCCAAGCCTCTCATTGCTCTCCAGCTTCCTCAGACAGGGGTTTGGAGGCTGGGGCAGCTCTCGGAAGCCCCAAAGCTCACCCTCCCTACCAACCCCTGGTCCCTCAGATGCAAAGAAGGTAGAGAGGTAGCTACTTTGTGGGAGGAGACTCTCCAGATACGGGCTGAGATAAACCAAGGGGCCTAGTCCACACGAGCCTCTGTGGCCAGCAGGGTACCAGAAGGGGCAACAGGAAGGAAACAGTCTCAGAACTGCCTTTGCTGAAGGCTGTGTGGGCCCTGAGGCCTCTGGTGGCGGGCGGGGGGAGGACAGCCACCAGCCCACATCCCTTGGTCCCTGCCCCATCCCCCGCATAGGGACTTCCTCTTTATTTACTTCCTCCTACAGGGCAGCTGGAAGAGAAGCCCAGAGCCCCCAGGCCTGATCCGTGGTCTCTAGGGTTCCCACCCTGCCAGCTGTAGCCAAGCCCACCTGCCAATCCTGGCCCTAACGGACACCAAAAGCCCCTTCCCCAGCTGGCAGCATTTGCAGGGCCCTTCCAGGCGCTACCCCCTCCCTCAGTGGGACAGATGTCCTCAGACACATCTCCCAGCGTGCCTCCAGGCAGGTGAGGAGGGGTCCACAGCTCCCTGGCAGCCTTGAGGGGGAGCTGGCCTCCAACACTAGGTCAGGACTGGCATGGAGAGATGATGGTAAGTGTGCCTCCTACTGATTGAGCAGTTGCTGCACGCACACAGCCTTTTTTTTCTTTGAGAGGGAGTCTCACTCTGCTGCCCAGGCTGGAGTGCAGTGGTGAGATCTCAGCTCACTGCAACCTCCGTCTCCTGGGCTTAAGTGATTCTCGTACCTCAGCCTCCCGAGTAGCTGGGACTACAGGCACACTCCACAATGCCTGGCTAATTTTTTGTATTTTAGTAGCGACAGGGTTTCATCATGTTGCCCAGGGTGGTCTCAAACTCCTGAGCTCAGGCGATCTGCCCGCCTCGGCCTCCCAAAGTGCTGGGATTACAGGTGTGAGGCACTGTGTCCGGCATTTTTTTTTTTTTTTTGAGACAGAGTCTCACTCTGTTGCCCAGGCTGGAGTGCAGTGGCATAATCATGGTTCACTGCAGCCTCTTGGGCTCAAGCGATCCTCCCACCTCAGCCTATGGAGTAAGCTGGGAGGACAAGTGCGTACCACCACATCTGGCTAATTTTTAAAAAATTTTTTGTAGAGGGCCGGGCGCGGTGGCTCATGCCTGTAATCCCAGCACTTTGGGAGACCGAGGTGGGCGGATCACCTGAGGTCGGGAGTTCGAGACCAGCCTGACCAACATGGAGAAACCCCGTCTCTACTAAAAATATGAAATTAGCCGGGCATAGTGGCATATGCCTGCAATCCCAGCTACTACGGAGGCTGAGGCAGGAGAATCGCTTGAACCTAGGAGGCGGAGGTTGTGGTGAGCCAAGATCGTGCCATTGCACTCCAGCCTGGGCAACAAAAGTGAAACTCCATCTCAAAAAAAAATTTTGTTTTTTGTAGAGGATGGGTCTCCCTGTGTTGCCCAGGCTTGTGTTGAACTCCTGGCTGGGCATAGTGGCGTGCGCCTGTAGTCCCAGCTACTCCGGTAGCTGAGGTAGGAGGATCACTTGAGCCTAGGAGGTCAAGGCTACAGTGAGCTGTGGTTGTACCACTGCACTCCAGCCTGGGCAACAGAGGGAGGCCCTGCCTCAAAACAAAAACAAAACCAAAAAACCACAACTATCCTGAGACAGCCATAATCAAGGTGTTGTGGGTGCCCAGAGGTGGTGACTATTTGCCAGTGCATGAAGTCAAGAAAGACCTTCCAGAGAGGGGCAGCCCAGCTGGGTCCTGAGGATGAACAAATGTTGGCCAGGCAGAAAGGAGGAAAAAAAGACACTCCAGGTAGAGAAAGACCTGTGTGACCAAGGGGCTTAAGGCCAGGAGGGTAGAGTGGGAAGTCAGGAAGAGCTGGCCACTCACTAGCTGGGTGCTCCCGGGCAAATCTGTTTCCCTGTCTGAACCTCGGTTTCCTCCTCTGTAAAATGAAGGTTAGAACAATATGCTCCACTCTCAGATTGTTTCTAGAAGCAAAATGGGCCACAGAGACAAGGGGATGTTGGAAACAGAACTTCTCCCAGGTTTACTTAGTCTTACTGCTGTGGGGTCTCCCCTGGGCAGGCTGAAGGGACAGAGCCCAGCCACAGGGCCCCAGGTACTAGGAGGGTGGCTGGCCTTCTCTGACCAGGCCAAGGGAAGTTCCTCCCAACACCTGAGGCTGCCCAAGGCTCCCTGAAGTCCACAGTCACATCCTGCCTAAGCTCTGGCCAGGGGAGCATGAGGGATCCGGGAGGGATCAGGGTTTCATAAACAGGAAGAGAGGAGGGGAGGGGAGACGCTCAGCTCTCAAAATAGACCTGCAGGCGCTTCAAAGGGGTCCAGCTCCGGAGATAGCTGGGGGAGGGGGCCTGGGATGCCCAGTCCACTCCCAGAAGGGAGGGAGGGCAAATGGAGCCCCGGTGTGCCTTAGGGTACCACGTGCACCTAGGTGCTGAGGGGATCCAGAGAGTTCTCACCCTGGATGGCTATCCACACTATTGCTGCTAAAAGCCAAATCCCAAATCCCAAATCCCGCTTTCTGCCTGAAATGAATAAAATAAACAAGCATTAAACAGCAACATTGTGCCACAAGCCCTGTTAGATACTTTAATTTATATGTACCACATTCTCTTTTCCAGGTAGCCCTGAGAAATAGGCTTTATTCTCCTTTCATTTTTCAGGAAAGAACCCGAGCCTCAGCAAGGCAAATGACTTGCCCAAGGTTACAAGGCAAATAAAAAATAGGTGCAGGATTCTGAACTCAGAATCCCTGACTCTCTTCCCTGCCTCTTTGCCACCTGGAAGGCCCAATTCTTTCTCCAGCTGCCCAAATCCTGCCTTTTGAGTCCCAGCCAAATGCCAGTTCCGCAGGGAACATGGCCTGTGCCCTAGAGCCCACCCCAACTCTTCTTCCTCGGCCATGCACGGCAATGACCATGTCTCTGGTCCACACTCAGCCCTGAACTCAGATGCCATCAGCTGGGTTCCCGGGGACGTGCTCATCTCGTCATGCTACGGAGAGAAATGTGGGCACCTGGAAGGTGGTGGTATACGTCTCTGCCCAACATGGGCCTAGCACAGAGCAGAGGTTCTATGTGCCCACAGCTGTGCTCTTGCCCCATCATAGCGCCTACCACATGGCTTTCCTGTCTCTACCCTCTGCCCAAAGATTGGAAGCTTCTCGAAGGTGGGGGATATTGACTTCATTTTAGGCCCTCCTGTGAACAACAGGGTGCACCGAATGTCTGATTAGGATAAAGTGGCCCATTGCCAGCTCATTCCACTGCACAAAGTGATGAGGTCCGGACCACAGGTTGAGCGCCCCCTGGTGTATTAAGCCCAGAAGTGGGCATTAGGGACACTGGTGGCTGGGACAACAGATGGATGAGCAGGTGCCCAGGACTGGTCCCACTTGGAATCACAGAAAGCCAGTGCTCCTCCTCTTCAGCACTCAGGGTTCTCTGGACTATGAGGAATGACCTTGAAGCCAAACAAGACTTGTCTTCATTGCCCACCAGCTATGTGATGTTGAACCTCAATTTTCTCATCTGTAAAATGGGGACAGTAACAATCTACCTCCAAGGATGTAGTTAGAACTAAATGCAAAGCACCTGGTATGATGCTAGGCATAGGTTAAGCTCTTTCTCTTCCTTAAGTGGCATTCGAGACTCCATGTCCCATCCATCTCCAGCCCTGTCTCTCTTCCTACCCCAGGATCTTCTGCTCTAGAGCAAGAGTCATAGGCTTGGGAGCAAAAGGTTACCTGCCTCGGCAAGCTCCTGCCATCTCCCAGTAAGCTCCTCCAGTTCTTGAGGTGAGAAGCTGTACTCAGCACAGGTCCCTAAATGCTGCAAGCTCCTCTGCAACCCCCAGAACCTCAGCCCTGAGATCTGAACACCGTGTTTCTTCACTGGGAACCTACAGTTCTTCATTTTGTTACTAGGCAACAAGAGGTAGCTACTTTGTGGGAGGAGATTCTGCAGACATGGGCTGAGCTAAACCAAGGGGCCCAGTCCACACTATTTACTGGCCTCTGCTGGTCCAAGGTTGCCACAGCAACCCACAGAGAAGTGGTGCGAGAATACTTCCCTCACCTGCCCTATCCTACCCAGCTCAGTCACCTCATCTTAGGAAGCTGAGTCAAGGTAAACATCAGGACTAATCCTGCATCCATCTCAAAGGTCAAGCTTATGGCAGGTCTGGTGTTCAAGCCAACCTAGGTCTGGAAGGTGGGGTCACTGGCAGGAAGCTGAGCTGAGCAATATACTAGGACATTTTCGGTGCTGGCACCGAAGCTGCCATGTGCCAGGCAGTTACTATCTCATCGTCCTTCACATTGCTCCTGTGAGACAGACACTGTTTCCCCAACTTACAGCTCAGGAAACTGAGACTCAGAAGGGAGAAGAGCTTCTGGTTAAATGGTGGGGATGGAGCCAGGACTGGAACCCGGATTTGCTCTAACACCATGCTCTGTCCCTGCCTAAGCAGCTTCCAAAGACCCTCCATAGCCAGCATCTCCTGTGACCTCACAGCCACCCTGTGAAGGGGATGTGGTCTTTTCCAATATACAGATGAGAAAGCCAAGGCCCAGAGTGTACAAGGAACCTCCCCAAGGTCACACCACTGTCACCTAGTCCTGGTGCTTCTGGCAAAACACAAAACCAGCAACAGGGGCTAGGGGGCTACAGGAAGGGGCCCAGGGGAAGCAGAGATAGCAGGGGTGAGGGAATGACCCTCACACTGGGAAGTGGAAGCCCTAAGAAATGCCATGAGTGCCACATGCCAGGCAATGGGCCTGGTTAGCCTTGAGCGGCCACCAGCACCCCCTTTCCAGCTCACGTGCCCAGATGCTCACTTCCAGGCTCTTGGCAAGCGCAGCTCTACCAAAAGGAGCAGGACAGCTGGCCTGAGCCCCTCCCATCACTCCTTAGAGCCAGCCCAAATTCCATGAGTAAATAAACTGCAGGGGCATCCTGGCCTGGGTGACAGGTAACCAGAGCCCTGACCTGGATTCTGCTCCTGACCCTTTCTGGGCCACAGTCGCCTCACCTACAAAATAGGAAGGTTGGAACAAGTGATTTCTATGCCCAGGGTTGCCACAAGGATTCGGTGGGCCCTGAGAAGGACGGCTGAGTTGGGCAAAGGGGCTAGAGGCTGGAGCCCTCAACCTCCTCCAAAGCCATGCAAACAGGATCCCCCACAGCCCCTCGCTCAGGGTGCTGGCCATGGTCCTCACCTTGGACGGCTGAAGTCCAGCTTCTTCCCCTGAGGTCTGTCCATTCTGGAAAAGAGAAAGGAGATTGGGGGAGCACTGTCAGAACTTACACGCTTGGGAGAAAGACTCTGTGGGGCACCCCCACCCTTAGGTGCTCCCAATAGCCATGGAGGCCATGGTGGTAGGGCAGGAGTCCTGGGTGGGTCCCTCCACCTCCACTTTCATGGTGTAGGCACAGGGACCAAGTATTCTGGCAATGGCGCCTCATGACTCAGGCAGAATATTCCCAGGGACCAGCATTCTGACCCTCATGCTGTCTGCCTGGCAAACACTTCATCTCTGAAGACTTAGTTCAAATGTCACCTCCTCCCAGGGAGAAGGGAAGGGTCATGTGTGGCTTCCAGCTCTACCAGATACAAACCTTGTACAAACTAGTCAACTGTGAGAGGACTCAGTTTCCCCATCTGTAACATGGGGTGGGGTAGTTACACTGACTTCCCAGAGTTGCTGCAAGGGTGGAAGGAGACAAAGTCTGGGAAAGCATGCAACCCAGAGATGGTGGCTATCCTTGCCCTGCCCCACTCTGGGACCCCTCCCCTGACCTTGCCAGGCAGAATGACTGCTGCCTCCACTTCAGCCTTCATTGTAGCACTTGTCCCACTGCAGGGACTATTTACACACAGGCCTGCCCTTCCTAATAAATGGGGAGTCCCACGAGGGCAGAGACGAGGGCTTGGGGCTAACAGCTGCTCTCTTCCAAGCCTCTGCCACATGGCAGGCACTGGGCTCAGTGCCTCGCACCTGTGGCACCACTTTTTTTTTTTTTTTTTTTTTTTTTAGACAGAGTTTTGCTCTGTTGCTGAGGCTGGAGTGCAGTAGTGCAATCGCAGCTCACTGCAACCTCCGCCTCCCAGGTTCAAGCGATTCTCCTGCCTCAGCCTCCCAAGTAGCTGGGATTACAGGCGTACGCCACCATGCCCGGCTAATTTTTGTATTTTTTTTAGTAGACACGGGGTTTCACCACGTTGGCCAGGCTGGTCTCAAACTCCTGACCTCAGGTGATCCGCCCGCCTCGGCCTCCCAAAGTGCTGGGATTACAGGTGTGAGCCACTGCGCCTGGCCCCTGTGGCACCATTTAATCCTCATGACAGCCCTGGGAGGTAGGCCCTGGCCCCATGTGGCAGAGAAGGAAACTGAGGCTCTGAGGGGACCTAGTGATGATGCCTATGGTCACACAACTGGTGAGTGGGGATTCAAAATCTGGTCCCAAATCCAGGAGGTGCTCCAAACAGGTCAGCTGAGAAACAGCCCAGAGCCCAGAGCCCCCCTCTGGTCAGTCTTGCCTTTTCCAGCCCCCAGACTTCACTCTCAGGTGGTTATTAAATATGCTGGGGTGTGTCAAACCCAGCCCATCTGTTTCCTGTGTGATGTGAGGCAAGTAACCTACCCTATCTGGGCGTTTGGAAGCTGAAAGAAATTGCCCCACCCCTCCTAGAACAGGGAGAGTGTGGTGAGGCAGACAGGAGGTTCCCAACAGCTAGGAAGGCCTGCTCTAGAACAGGTCTGGATCTGGACTTTGGAGCCAGGAGCTGGGTCCATGGGGCAGCTGTAGCCCTGCTTGGCTACAGCTGGGTAGGCACAGCTGTGCTCTACCCATTACATAATCTCCCTGCCCCTGGAACAGCTCCCCATTGCCACTCCCAGGACATCCTGCCCCCTGAGCCCCTTTAATGCCCCTAATCTCTCCCCAGGGGCCAAATGTTCTACAGGCCCCTCCATGCACACATCCATACACACACTGTCATCTCTCAGCAGCCTGGGGAGAAGGGATGGGTTGGTCAGGGCCCAGGGGCTGGGCTGTGGTAGGGATGCTTTTGTAGACTGAGCTCCACTTCACCCAGCATTCTAGACTCTTGACATAATTCCTGCAGATGATCAGAACAGCCTACCCACCAGCTCCCTGCCCCACAGCCTTCCCCACTCCAAACCCTCATCATTCCTAAAATCAAGTGCAACTGCTGCACTCAACTCACTCAGTCAACATTTGCTGAGAACCTTCTATGTACCAGGCCCCAAACCCCTCTGTGGCTTCCACTGCCTGTAGAATCAAGTCCCAGCTCCTTAGCATAGAAATCAAGGCCATCATCTTCAACTGCCCAGCACAATAACTAGGAATGTAGGTTTTGCAACCTGACCTTGTGGGTTCAAATTCTGGCTTCTACCACCTGCGTGACCCCTAGAAGGTTAGTTCATTTACTGGGGCTTCAGTTTCCTCATCTGTGAAATGCGGATCAAAGTAACATACCTCAATGGTGGCGGCAAGAAGCAAATGAAATAATGCCTATAAATATATACACCTGACATGTAACTGGCCTACAAACAATAGCCATTCTTATCATTGGGCCCTATTTTTGAGCTAAACTGAACAACCACAGACCCTGAAAACAGTCTATTTTATATCCCCAGCATTTGTATGGTGGCTCCCTCTACCAAGAAAGCCTTTCCTGCCTTGTCACTTTGGCAAACTCCTGATCTTTTATCAGGACTGAATTCAAATGTCACCCCTGTCCACACAGCCTCATGTTCTTTCCTCCCTCCTCTCTACCCCCATAACCTAAGCATGCTGCAGGTTAACTCGGGAAGGGGCCATGGCTTGTCCATCATCAACATCTTGGCACCCAGCCAGAGTCCAGCATGTGGTTTATCCAGTGAAAGTTCAACCCAGCAAAGACAGCAAGGAGGCCAGAGCAGGTTCTATTACTCCTATTTTTCAGATGAGGCTCAGGAGAGTTAAGGGACTCACCGAGGTCCCTCAGCAGGCAGGTGGCAGACATGTGACCATAACCCAAAGTCACGTGGCTGCAAGCCTACTGAGGGTGGGGAGGAAGGGGTAGGTGTACCTAGAGGTGTGGGTTTCTTGAGCAGTGGCCTGGATGACTTAGGGACCCCCCGCTCTAAGGCAGTCTGGCTGCCTCTACTCCCTGGATCTCTGGCTTGGGTGTCATTCTTATGGAACGCCAAACCTGTAAGAGTAAGGGAACAGGCAGCCCTGGAGAACAGACTGGTAGGGGGGTCAGGGGGGTTGTGGGGTGCTGGCTTCCCACTCAGAGCCTGGGTCCTGGGTCCGGGGTCATCTGCCCCTCTGGCCTGACTGCTGCATAGCAATCCTTGAAAGAACACAGCTGTGCAGCCACAAAGATACAGCCACTAATCCTAGCTCTGCCAGCCACTTATTCTGCCCTTGGGTCTGTCATATCACTTTTTATTTTTATTTTTATTTATTTTTTGAGACAGTTTCACTCTTTTGCCCAGGCTGGAGTGCAGCGGCGCAATCTCAGCTCACTGCAACCTCTGCCCCGCTGGGTTCAAGCAATTCTTCTGCCTCAGCCTCCCAAGTAGCTGGGAATATAGGCCGCACCACCACACCTGGCTAATTTTTGTATTTTTAGTAGAGGCGGGGTTTCGCCATGTTGGCCCAGCTGGTCTCAAACTCCTGACCTCAGGTGATCCACCCGCCTCAGGCTCCCAAAGTGCTAGGATTACAGTCATGAGCCACCACGCGTGGCCTCATATCACTTTTTGAAGTCTCAGTTTCGGCCAGGCGCAGTGGCTCATGTCTGTAATCCCAGCACTTTGGGAGGCTGAGGCCAAGAGGCCTCACAGATCACGAGGATCACGAGGTCAAGAGATCGAGACCATCCTGGTCAACATGGTGAAAACCTGACTCTACTAAAAATACAAAAATTAGCTGGGCATGGTGACACGGGCCTGTAGTCCCAGCTACTCAGGAGGCTGAAGCAGGAGAATCACTTGAACCCGGGAGGTGGAGGTTGCAGTGAGCCGAGATCACGCCACTGCACTCCAGCCTGGTGACAGAGCAAGACTATGTCTCAAAAAATAATAATAGTAATAAAGTCTCAGTTTCCTCATCTGTATCACGAGGGCAGGTGTGTCTTGCTGACATCTGCACTTTGTTGTCTGAAATAGTACTTATCACCTAAGTGCTAAATAAATGACTGAATGGGGACAATGGTGCTGACCTTGCAGAGTACTGAATGAAGGACTTTGTCTTAGGAGTCCTTTGGCCTCTTAGAGGTTGAAGACCCACACTCCTCCCTCTTCCTCAGAGAGCACTGCTCATGAGGACAGATGCCCAGGGCCCCAGACCACTGCCCCCAGTTCTGAGATGTCAGAAATGGGTTCCAACTGGCATCATTCCTTCCCACCCAAGCAACTCTGTCTTAGAAAGAGGGGCCCAGGGCAGCGTCTGGAGAAGCTGGGCAGCAGATGGAGAAGGACAGCACGTGCCCCACAGGCAGGAAGCAGCCCCAGGAGCTGGGTTCTGAGCCCAGCATTGGCAGCCCTGCTCACTGCTGGAGGCTGGGGGCCAGGTGCCAGGGCTGGCTGGCACTGCCAGCCCTCGGCAAAGACTGGACGAGGGCCTTGCAGGATAAGGAGAGTCCGCCAACATCCGGAGCCTCTCTTGGAGCACCTTCCACCTGGGCTAGTGTGGCTCCAGCCCTTCCCCATCCCTGAGCCTCTCTCCCACTTGGTGGAAGAGAGAGATCTTGGTTCCAATCCTGGCTCTGATATTAACACATAAGCCTGAGTTTTCAGTTGTCCCATCTGAAAACAGGGGTAATAATCCCTATCTTGAGAAGCTGTTGTGAGAATTAAAGTGGGGTGACATTCGTAAGGCAGAGTGGGTGGCACATAGTAAAGCTCTGTACGTGGCAGAACTGGGCCTGGGGACAAGGCTACTGCTTTCAACAGGGCTAAGCGAGGCCCAGGCAGAATCCTCACCCACGCTTCCCATAGATTACTCCACCTGGGCTGCACCCTGGGCCAGGCCCTGCCTCCCAGCGGCCCATTTTCAGCAGCATTAAGGGAGGGCAGGGCAGTCCAGATCCTAGGTCCCTGTGAAAAGTCCCCCACCAGCCCCTCACCTGCCTCCTTCCTGGCTAGGAGCTGCCAGCAGTGGTGGTGCCTGTACGTGCAGGTCAGGCGGCTGTATCGCTTACATGTCACCTGGGCTAAGAACAGCGAGGCCCTGTTCTCCAGTGAGAACAGCCCAACCTGCGCCGTGGCTGCCCTGTGGCTCCTGTTACCCAAACAATAACACCCAGTCGCCTGGCACCTCCAGGAGTGGGGGAGGGGGGACCAGACAACAGTACCCAGCGCTCTGCACCCTCTCAGGCCCAGGAAGTGGAGGCTAGAACCTAGCACTTGCCACTGGAGAAGCAGAGGCCCAGACAGGCTGAGGACTGACTGAGGATCACACATCGTTTCTGGAGCGAAGCTCCTGAGGAAATTGCGTCCCCCTGCCCCACCAATCCCAGGAAGTCCGCTGGTCTTCCCCTCTCACAGACCTGAGATGTTACAGAACTCAAAACTGAGATGAGTTTCCCAGTTAAACCTGGCTCCCTGGTGAAGCTGGCCCCTGCCTCAGGATTCCCTAAAGAGAAGCAGGAAGTGGTGCCCCAGGATCGAGCTCCTGGGTGTCCACCCTCCCTATCAGCATAAAGTCACTCCCCAGCCTCTCCCAGCCCTACCTTCTCCTTTGGAGGCCTGGTCCCAGGGGCGTGCCTGGGCAAAGGAATCCACCTCTGAGCACCACCCCCAGGACCTTGCGCCCCGGTCCTAGTAGCGGGGTGGCAGTACAGGGGCTGCAGAGGGCAGTGTTCCTCACCTCAGAGGGTGAGTCAGCGAGAGAACCTCTGAGCAGCCTAGCAGTGCCTGTAAAATCCCCATGGCAGGAATCCCAGAGCAATTTACTCCAAATTGCTCCTTCAGGTTGGTTACCTAATCCTGCCGCGCCCACCCTCCAATAGCCAGTGTCGGCCATCCCTTTAAAGGGGCAGCACACCCTGGGGGCTGGGGACCCTGGGTGCTCACCCTGATCTAAGCCTGTGGTCCTGAGAGGCAGGACACTTGGTGGCTGCCCTAGGTAAGAGAGGGCAGAGGAGGGGACTGAGACAGGGGCTCCAGGCCCAAGCTGGGAGAAAGTCATCTCAGCTCCTGGGCTCAAATGAGGTCTCCATTCCCTCCCTGCATACCCCCAACAACCACCTGGGAAGGAGAATATCACCTGCTTCCTTCCCAGCAAGAGGTTAAGGAGGAAGTTTTCCACCAGCTCATTCAGGGGCTTGACCTTGACCCTGGGGTCAAAAGGCACAGGAAGAGGTGGCCTTCTGCACGCTTAGGGACTGGAGCCACAGAGCCCTCAAGGGAGGTCAGGAGCTGCTTCTGAGAGAGAAGGAGCTGGGTTGTCTGGGGAGTCTGGGCTGGCAGAAGCCAAACTCCCCAAGGGCCCAGCCCTTCCTACCGGAAGGGGCATAAGAAGGGAGGCAGGCACCAAGGTCCCCCCACGCCCTGCCAGGAATCATCTTCACAAGGTCTAAGGGCTCTTCCCCACTCTCGTCTCCACAGCCTGGGGTAGGGCACACAGGTGTCCTCTGGCCCTAGCCTCAGGGCAAAGAAAACCAGGAGTTCCAGCCCCAGACGGGTGGTGCCATCCCACACTCCGCATCCGCCAGGGGTCAAGAGGAGCAATCCTTCTAGGCTCAGCAGCGGTGAAGCCAGAAGCAGGGAGCTCTTGGCGGAGGGCCCTGGGAGAAGTGGGGGTCCCATAACCCCTGTCTCTGGTAGAATCCCAGACATCTGGCACTGAAGATCTCCCCGTCTGCATTAATGGAGGAAGCTCCGACAGCTCTGGACAGATGCCGGGACGGGTCCTAGGTGTGGGGTGAAGGCGACCAGATCTCAGCGCCCCATAGGATCCCCTCTCCTGGCTATGGCGGGGAGGTAGTCGGCGCTTGGCGGAACTGTCCCTCGCACACGCACACCCGGGCATAGGGGGGTGGAGCCGGACAGTGGGCAAGAGATCGGAGGGCACTCGCGCCCTCGCGGGCGCCCGCCGGACTGCAGCGGCGCTTCGGGCCGCCCCGCCCCTGTGAGGATCCGGGCTCGCCGGCCGCGGGCGCCCGTCCCCCGCCCCGCTCACTCACCTCCGGGTCCAGAGGCACTAGCTCCATGAGCGGCCAGGGCTCCTTGAGCTGGGCGAGCGGCATCTCGCCGCCGCCAGGTCACCCGCGCTCCTCCGGCGGCCCCGGCTGCGCCGCCTCCCGGGTCCTGGGGTCCCTGGCTCTGCGACCCGAACCGCCGCGCCCCCCCGAGCCCCTCGCGCTCCGGCTGGGCCGTCCGCCGCCGCCGCCGCGGCACTAGCACTTCGGCTCCCTCCGTCACCCGGCGCCGCCGCGCCCATTGGCTACCTGCGCGGGGGCGGAGCCGGAGAAGCCCCGCCCCAGCCCCCGCGGCGCGGCATTCCCAGCGCGGACCCCCGCCCCCGCCGCGCCCCGAGGGCCGGCCCCGCCCCTGCCGCGAGCCCCCGGCCCGCGCTCGGCTCCGCCGGAGAGGCCCTGCTGGCTCCTTCCCTTCCAGTGGTGTACCCCTGGACACACCACACCAGGGCCACCGTTCTCCCCCGCTCAGCTCTTTTGGAATCCCAGCCCAGATGTTCCTTCTCCTTCCAACGGGAGAGAAGCACCTTATCCCCGACCCCAGCACACACATTCACACTGGGTTCCTGGGCCTGATCTAGGCTGAGGCTTGGAAGGAGCCTGAGACCCACTCCCCTTAGGCCCTCAACTCACCAGGCCCTAGAGATCCCCTATCCTCTAATTTCTACCCCGCCCTGAAGCTAACACTGTGATCTCCGGGCGATCTCAGTGCCCCAGGCCAAGATGGGCATCAGCAGTTGTTACCACCATCAGGACCCATAGTGCCACCACAGAGTGATTGATTGATCGATTGATTTTACATAATGTATATAAATATTACATATATAAATAAATATGTATAAATAAATATTATATATATGCACATATATGTATGTATGTGTGTATATAGTGAGAGAGAGAGAGACACGAAGTTTCGCTTTGTTACCTAGGCTGGTCTCTGACTCCCCGGCTCAAGTGATCCTCCTGCCTCGGCCTCCCAAAGTGCTGGGATTACAGGCATGAGCCACCGCGCCCGGCCAAGAGTGATTTCTTAATATGCGTTTTTGCAATCTGTGCTCTGCCCTATCACTTGAAGGGGGTCCTTTCAGGTCAGGTCTCCCTGGAGTCACCTGCAGCCCCAGCTCTGGACTAGTTTGGGTTTGCGACTCTCTGAGGAGGGACCAGGCTCCCAGGATGAACCGAGGCTTGGTGGGACTTGGAGTGAAAGGCCAGGGAGACTGGTTGCCCCAGAGAGATTCAGCCTCCACCTAAAGAGCCTTAGGGGTCCGGGTGTGCTGAGATGTATTCACATGTGAGGAGTGAGCTTGCTGGAGGGACAAGCTTGCTGGTTTCGCAGGAAGACTGGTCAGTTATTTGCAAAGCTGTTCTAAGGCAGGGGAATGGGAAGGAATGTTTATCAAAAGCTTCCTGCGAGCCATGTGATTTCCTTGAATGATTACCACCACCTAGTTTACAAATCCTGAAACAAGCTCGGAAAGATGAAGTGACTTACCCAAGGTCACACAAGAGGTTGAGAACAGACTAGGGCTTAAAAAAATCAAAGTGTCACACCTGTAATCCCAGCACTGGGAGGCCGAGGCGGGCGGATCACGAGGTCAGGAGATTGAAACCATCCTGGCTAACATGATGAAACCCTGTCTCTACTAAAAATACAAAAAATTAGTAGGGCGTGGTGGCAGGCACCTGTAGTCCCAGCTACTCGGGAGGCTTAGGCAGGAGAATGGTGTGAACCCGGGAGGCGGAGCTTGCAGTAAGCGGAGATAGCCCCCACTGCACTCCAGCCTGGGCGACAGAGACTCCATCTCAAAAAAAAAAAAATCAAAGTGGATAAGGATTTCTCCAGAATCCACGTGCTCCCCCTTTTCCATGGCTTTCCCAGGGTAGGACCTCAGCTGTTGAACTGAATTTTGAGTGAAAGGACTTTGGAACCCAACAATTCTGGGTTTGAATTCCAGCTCTGCTACCTTCTTAACACAGGGAAACTCATTTTATGCCTCTAAACCTCAATTTCTCCATCTGTAAAATGGGAATTATAATCTCAATCTTTCAGGTATATAGGACAAGATTCATTTTAATTCAATAAATTTACAGCTATATATTTTTTATTTGTTTTTTAGAGACGGAGTCTCGCTCTGTTGCCTAGGCTGCAGTGCAGTGGTAAAATCGTAGTTCACTGCAGCCTTGAACTTCTGGGCTCAGGCGATCCTCCCACCTCCCACAAGTAGCTGGCACTTCAGGTGTGTGCCACCATGCCCAGCTAATTTTTTTTCTTTTCTTTTGAGACAGAGTCTTGCTCTGTCAACAGGCTGGAGTGCAGTGGCTCAATCTCAGCTCACTGCAACCTCCACCTCCCAGGTTCAAGCAATTCTCCTGCCTCAGCCTCCTGAGTAGCTGGGACTACAGGTGCGTGCCACCACGCTTGGTTAACGTTGTGTATTTTCAGTAGAGACGGGGTTTCACTGTATTAGCTGGGATGGTCTCAATCTCCTGACCTCATGGTCTGCCCATCTTGGCCTCCCAAAGTGCTGGGATTATAGGCGTGAGCCACTGTGCCAGGTCCCCAGCTAATTTTTTATATGTTTTGTTTTTGTAGAGATGGGGTTTCACTATCTTGCCCAGGCTGGTCTTAAACTCCTGGCCTCAAGCGATCCTCCAGCCTCCCAAAATGCTGGAATTACAGCCACCACACCTGGCTTATTTATGGCTATATATTACACACTAGACCCTCTTTCTGAGCATGTATTGTAAGCCAAGCCTTCTTTTTATTATTATTATTATTATTTTGAGATGGAGTCTCACTCTGTCGCCCAGGCTGGAGTGCAGTTCAGTAGCCTGATCTCGGCTCACTGCAACCTCCGCCTCCCGGGTTCAAATGATTCTCCTGCTCAGCCTCCCAAGTAGCTGGGACTATAGGCATGTGCCACCACACCTGGCTAATTTTTTTTTTTTTTTTGACGGAGTCTCGCTCTGTCACCCAGGCTGGAGTGCAGTGGTGCGATCTCGGCTCACTGCAAGCTCCGCCTCCCGGGTTCACGCCATTCTCCTGCCTCAGCCTCCCGAGTAGCTGGGACTACAGGCGCCCGCTACCACGCCCGGCTAATTTTTTGTATTTTTAGTAGAGACGGGGTTTCACCGTGTTAGCCAGGATGGTCTCGATCTCCTGACCTCGTGATCCGCCCGCCTCGGCCTCCCAAAGTGCTGGGATTACAGGCGTGAGCCACCGCGCCCGGCCCACCTGGCTAATTTTTGTATAGGCGTGTGCCACCACACCTGGCTAATTTTATATATATATATTTTTAGTAGAGACGAGGTTTCACCATGTTGGCCAGTATGCTCTCAATCTCCTAACCACATGATCTGCTCGTCTTGGCCTCCTAAAGTGCTGGGATTACAGGCATAAGCCACTGCGCCTGGCCTATTATTATTATTATTTGTAAAGATGGGGTCTCGCTATGTTGCCCAGGCTGGAGTGCAGTGGCTATTCATAGACGCAACCATAGCACACTACAGCCTTGAACTCCTGCCCTCAAGCAATCCTCTTGCCTCAGCACACCAGGGGATGTGGCTCAGGCTTTCTACTAGATGCTGAGAATATAGCAATGAATAAATTAAAGTCCTTAGCTGGGTACCTGTAATCCTAGCTACTCAGGAGGCTGAGGTAGAATGATCCATTGAGCTCAGGAATTTGAGACTCTAGTGAGCTATGATCACACTATTGCATTCCAGCTTGGGCGACAGAGTGAGACCCCATTGCTAAAAAATAAATAATAAAATACATAATAAATAAAGTATTTGCCTTTACGGAGTTTACATTCATTGTGGTGTAACTAAATAAATAATGACAGCTAACACTAACATAGCACTTACTATGGACCAGGCACTGTTCTATGCATTTTTTACCTGCATAAACTAAGGTAGTCCTTGTAATCTTATGTGTTATGTGCTATTATTCTCTCCAGTGTACAGATGGGGAAACTGAGGGCAGAGAAAGTAAGCATCCCATTACTTGGGTCCCTCCAAGGCCACAGGACTGCAGCCAGGCGCGGTGGCTCACGCCTGTAATCCCAGCACTTTGGGAGGCCAAGGCGGGTGGATCACCTGAGGTCAGGAGTTCAAGACCAGCCTGGCCAACATGGTGAAATCCCGTCTCCCCTAAAAATACAAAAAAAAGAAAAAAAAAGAAAAAAAAAGTAGCTGGGCGTGGTGGCGGGTGTCTGTAATCTCAGCAACTCGGGAGGCTGATGCAGGAGAATCACTTGAACCTGGGAGGTGGAGGTTTTAGTGAGCTGAGACTGTGCCATTGCACTCCAGCCTGGGCAACAAGAGGGAAACTCCAACTCAAAAAAAAAAAAAAAGCCACAGGACTGAAAAATGGCAGAGCTGAGAGACAACCTGACAGTCTGGCTCCAGAGTGTGTTATTAATTTATTTTTTAGACAGAGTTTCACTCTTGTTGCCCAGGCTGGAGTGCAATGGTACCATCTCAGCCCACTGGAACCTCTACCTCCCAGGTTCAAGCCATTCTCCTTCTGCCTCAGCCTCTCGAGTAGCTGAGATTACAGGTGCCCACCACCATGTCCAGCTAATTTTTTGTATTTTCAGTAGAGACGGGGTTTCACCATGTTGACCAGGCTGGTCTTGAACTTCTGACCTCAGGTGATCTGCCACCATCGACCTCCCAAAGTGCTAGGATTACAGGTGTGAGCCACTGCGCCCAGCGCAGAGTGTGTTCTTTTGTTCACATAGTCTCCACCTCCCTGATGAGAAAAGGTGAGGACAAAACAGACGGCAGCCTGGACCAGAGTTGGCAGCCATTATTCACATCAGTGTGGGGATCGTCCAGTTCAGTTACCTGGAAGCAGGTTGTGATGCCCCAGCTCTTGCTGCTCCCAGTTTGAGCTGTTATACTTGAACATATTTTGACTAAAAGTGTATGTGTTGTTTATCTGAAATTCAAATTGGGTATCATGTATTTTGGTTTGCTAGATCTAGTAATTGTACTCAGGAATTGGAACAGATCGCACGTAGCTGCCAGATACCTGGCTTGGAGTCAGCCACATTTAAGTTAGGAAGAGAGACACTGAGACCCACAGGATGAGGGTCAGGGGATGGGCCAGAGAGGTGGGGTGGATGGCAGGAGTAGAGGAGGTGAGGGAAAGCAGGAGTGGTTCTACCTTCAGCTTTCTCCCTTCCTGGGTCCCTGACCCTCTTTCTTCTCCCTCTCAAAGTAATCTCCCTATCAAGAGCATCCTCTCACTTAAGGACTGATTGATTGGTTGTGCTTTCAACCTTTTATGAATAAGCTTCACTTCCTGTGTCCCCTCTCCCATGAGTGGGTCATGCTGGTAAGAGGGGAGCCCAGAGGACATCTGGGCTCTACCTGGAGAGCTTCTCTAGGGGTCAGCTTGCCCATCTCTGGAGTAGGCATAGCAGTCACTCATCAGAGAGCTGTGCAGAACAAACTGTAGCCCACAGGTACAGATGCTGCTAAAGTTTCAGTGCACAAAAGTGTGCTCCACCTCTCTCGTGGCTCCAGCCACACTGGCTTTCCTTCAGTTCTGCCGCAGGGCTTTCGCACATGCCACTCCTTGTACTTGAAACAGTCTTCTTTGTTCTTCAAGCCAGCTCAGCTCTACATCACTTCCTCCAGGACATTTTCCCTCACCTCCGTAGTACTCATACCCATAGCAATCAATACTTGACAGTGCTTCTCAAAGTTGTACTTTTTTACATTTGTTTATGTGACTATTTGATTAACATCTGGCTTTTTTTTTTTTTTGAGACAGAGTTTCACCCTCGTTGCCCAGACTGGAGTGCAATGGCACAATCTTGGCTCACTGCAACCTCTGCCTCCTGGGTTCAAGCGATTCTCCTGCCTCAGCCTCCCGAGTAGCTGGGATTACAGGCGCCCACCACACACCAGCTAATTTTTTGTATTTTTAGTAGAGACTGGGTCTCTCCATGTTGGTCAGGCTGGTCTCGAACTCCTGACCTCAGGTGATTTGCCCACCGCAGCCTCCCAAAGTGCTGGGATTACAGACGTGAGCCACTGCCCCCGGCCTACATCTGGCTTTTAAATTAGACTGTAAACTGTGAGAGGGCAGCTGTTGGGTCTTGTTGGCTCTTCATTGTCTTCCTGACACCTGACACACTGCCTGGCACACAGGTACTCAAAAAGACTAAATGAATGATATGTCCAACATCACCCAGCTATGCAATGGTAAATTTGCAACTCAGACCCAGGCAATCTAATCTCATGCTCTGAAATGCTACACTCTGAGTGATGGATAAATTCTAGCTTTTTTTTTTTTTTTTTTTGAGACAGGATCTTGTTTTGTTGCCCAAGCTAGAGTCCAGTGGTGCAATCATGGCTCACTGCAGCCTCAACATCCTGGGCTCCAGCAATTCTCCCACCTCAGCCTCCCAAGTAGCTGGGACTATAGGCATGCACCACTACTCAGCTATTTTTTTTTTTTTTTATTTTTAAAAGATTTTTGTAGAGACGGGGTTTCGCCTGGCCTTGAGATGTTTGTTAAATGAGTGACTTGTGAGTGTGAAAGGGCTTTGCTAGACACAAGTGAGGCTACCACTCTGCGCCCTGTCAAAGAGGCAGTTCTGGCAAGGAGCAGGGGGCTGAACTGACAGGGGCTGAGGGCCGGGTTTTGGGTCCCTCTTCTGAAGCCTGGGAGGTTTTTCTTTTTCTTTTTTTTTTCTTTGTTTGAGACGGAGTCTCTCCCTGTCACCAGGCTGGAGGGCAGTGGCGCGATCTTGGCTCACTGCAACCTCCGCCTCCCAGGTTCAAGCTATTCTCCTGCCTCAGCCTCCCAAGTAGCTGGGAATACAGGCACCTGCCACCACACCCGGCTAATTTTTTGTATTTTTAGTAGAGACAGGGTTTCACCATGTTAGCCAGGATGGTCTCGATCTCCTGACCTCGTGATCTGCCCGCTTCAGCCTCCCAAAGTGCTGGGATTACAGGTGTGAGCCACCGCGCCCGGCCGAGGTTTTTCTATGATGTTCAAGAGCAGAGGTTCTGGAAAGGACCTGTCCTGGGGAGAGGGTCTGTCATCATTATTCTTTCTTGGCCTCTCAGTAAAGGGTATTCCTGGCTAATGTGTCTTTAACAGGTGGAACAGGATGAGGAGAATAATCACAATGATAGTTACCTTTAATGAGCGATTACAAAGTGCCAGAACAGAGCTGAAACTTTAAATAATAATAATCACAAGTGGGGTGCGGTGGCTCATGCCTGTAATCTCAGCACTTTGGGAGGCTGAGCCAAGAGGATTGCCTGAGCCCAGGAGTTTGAGGCCAGCCTGGGCAACATAGCAAGATACCATTTCTACTAAAAATAAAAACATTAGCCAGGCATGGTGGCGCGCATTCATAGACCTAGCTACTTGGAGGCTGAGGCCAGAGCATAGCTTGAGCCCAGGAGTTTGAGGTTGCAGTGAGCTATGATTGAGCCATTGCCCTCCAGCCTGGGCAAAAGAGCAAGCTCCTGTCTCAAAAAAAATTAAAAAATAATAGTAACAAACTATGAGTGCTTATTGAGAGAGCCCTATGTAGCCTGCCTGGAGCTGAGTGTTTTACAAGTAAGAACTCATCAAATCACCCCAATGATACAATGCCATGAGACAAAAATTATTGTCCCATTTTCCAGATGAGAAAACTGAGGCTTAGAGAGGGACAGGATTGCCCATGGTCAGACAGCCAGTAAGTATTGCAGCTGGGCTGGGAACCCACTTCTCTCAGACCTGAAAGCCAGTGCTCTTGATCACTTCACTATGCTAAGTTCAGAAAGGGGTCCAGGAGAGCTCAGTGTGCACACAGTGGGTGACAGTGATGGAGCAGTGATGGAGTGATGGAGGGGGCAGAGTCTCTTGTCTGTCTCATCCCTCATCTGAGGAATGGGAATGGTGTCATCCTTCTGCTTGAAATCCTCCTGCGCCTCCCCCATCACACTTCAAACAAATCCAAAGTCTTGGCCAAGTCTGTGAACCCCCCAGGCCCCGGCCCACTCCGTCGGGCACTCTCTCCTACCACTCTGTCCCTCGTTCGCCGCTCTCCTGCCACCGGGTATCTTTGCGGATCACTGGACATGCCTGGTATGCTCCTGTCAGGCTCTGCTCCTGCTATGCCCTCCACCTGGAACATTCTTTCTCCATTTCTCAGGGTTCACTCTCTTACTTCATTCACACCTCTGCTCAAATGTCACCTCCCGGAGAGGACTTTCCTTTTCTTATCTTACCTAAAATAGTTCCCCTTGGCCGGGCGCGGTGGCTCACGCCTATAATCCCAGCACTTTGGGAGCCTGAGGCGGGCGGATCACTTGAGATCAGGAGTTTGAGACCAGCCTGGCCAACATGGTGAATCCCTGTCTCTACTAAAACTACAAAAATCAGCCAGGCATGGTGGCGCGCATGCCTGTTATCCCAGCTTCCTGGGAGGCAGAGGTAGGAGAATCACTTGAACCCAGGAGGCGGAGGTTGCAATGAGCCAAGATTGCGACATTGCACTCCAGCCTGGGTGACAGAGCGAGACTGTCTGAAGAAAAAGAAAAAAAAAGCTCTCCATCAGCTATATAACCTACGTTATCTTTTTATTTTTCATGGCATGCTCTTTACTAGCAATCCTGTTGTTTATTTACCTGTTTGTTTCTCCCACTAGAACAAAGCTCCATGAGGCAGGACTTGTCTGTTTACTGCTGTTTCTCTGGATACATTTGATATATTGTAGGCCCTCAAAATGTACTTGTGAATGGAGCCACACCAACCTGGGCTCTAATCCTGGTCTGGCTACCTCCTAGCTGTGTGACTTTGAGTATTTCGGTTAACCCCTCTGAGCCTCAGTTTGTGCCTTAGAAAACTAGAGGTGGCTATGAGTATTAAGTGAGATCAGGCAATAAAATACCTGTGTGGCACCTGGCACACGATAGGTGCTCCATAGAAATGGTAGGTGACAGCCGGGTGTGGTGGCTCACGCCTGTAATCCCAGCACTTTGGGAAGCCAAGGCAGACAGATCACGAGGTCAGGAGATCGAGACCATCCTGGCTAACACGGTGAAACCCTGTCTCTACTAAAAATACAAAAAATTAGCCGGGCGTGGTGGCGGGCTCCTGTAGTCCCAGCTACTCAGGAGGCTGAGGCAGGAGAATGGTGTGAACCCAGGAGGTGGAGCTTGCAGTCAGCCGAGATTGCACCACTGCACTCCAGCCTGGGCAACAGAGTGAGACTCTGTCTCAAAAAAAAAAAAAAAAAAAAAGAAGAAAATAAATGGTAGGTGACAATCACAGACTTCCTTCCTTCCCTCCAAATTCTTCCCCCTGCAAAGAAGGGAGAGAGCCAGAGATTGGGGCCTGGGGTTCACTGAGTGGGTTCTGCACTTGTGTGCAGCGAAGACATGAGGCCTCAGCCTGGAGGGACTCCCCTGACTGTGGTCAGGGGATGAATGAGAACGAAGCCAAAGAGGGAGTGGTCAAGCCTGGTGAAACCCGTCTCTACTAAAAATACAAAATTAGCCAGGTGTGGTGGTGCACGCCTGTAGTCCCAGAGACTGGGGTCTCACCATGTTTCCCAGGCTGATCTCGAACTCCTGGACTCAAGTGATCTGCCTGCCTGAGCCTCCCAGAGCGCTGGGATTACAGGCATGAGCCATCATGCCAGGCCTAATTTTAAAAAAAATGTATCACCGAATGGACAAGACAGGGGTGTTGCTGAAAATGTCAGACTCAAATTTGGATAGCAGCAAGAAGAATTTCTTTGAGGGGGAAGTAGCTGATGAGGAAAGTGTGATTTTGACATTGCTGCCAGTTAAAGATGACCCAAATATGGAACAAACAGAACCAAGTGTTTCTTCAACTTCTGATGTCAAACTGGAGAAACCTATGAAATACAATCAAGGTCATCTACTTCAAACAAATTAACAATTTACAGCTCCACAAAAAGCTAGATGCAAAATACCAGCTCTTCCCTTGCCGACCATTTTGCCTCCCATTAATAAGGTGTGTTGGGACACTTTGCGGGACTGGTGCCAACAACTCAGTTTGAGTACTAATGGCAAGAAAATCGAAGTTTATCTGAGGGTCCATAGGCCTGCTTACCCTGAACAACAGCAAGATATGCCTGAAATGTCACAAGAGACCAGATTACAGCGGTGTTCAAGGAAACACAAGGCAGTGACCAAGAGAGCAAGGCTTCAGAAAACTTATGAGATGAATGAGAGAGCAGAAGAGACGAATACAGTCGAAGTGATAACTTCAGCGCAGGGAGCCATGTTGGCATCAAGGGCAAGAATTGCTGCAAGAGCTGTTGAGCCTGAGGCTGTGAATTCAAGTTCCATTCCTGTTTCTCTTGAGGCCTTTTTGATGCAAGCCGCTGGTGTCAGGTGGTGTGTGGTCCATGGCAGACTTCTCTCGGCAGACACAAAGGGTTGAGTACGCCTGCAGTTTCATGCAGGTCAGGCTTGAGTGCCTACCACTCACAGGAGGATGATTTCTCTCTTCTTGTTACCTGCCTGCATTTTCCCATCCCCAGGCACAGAAGATAATATGTTATGCCCCAACTGTGCTAAGAAGAATAAGAAGATGATGAAAAGATTAATGACAATAGAGAAGTAGCAGCCATCTGTTTGAATGAAATGTACTAGAGAAGGAGGGATGTACTTTC
This sequence comes from Homo sapiens, assembly GCF_000001405.40. Taxonomy (NCBI): domain Eukaryota; kingdom Metazoa; phylum Chordata; class Mammalia; order Primates; family Hominidae; genus Homo; species Homo sapiens. The sequence continues at coordinate 6,922 of NW_009646195.1, read as the reverse complement.
GGACCATGTAAACCTATTATGAAGGAATAGAAGAGGAGACAATTTGAATGAATCTTTGTGATATACAAAACAAAAATCATAGTGACTAGGACTCCACAGTGAAGATGGTTGATAGTGACACAGCCCCATCTGAAAAGCCCCTTTCTGTAAGTCTGAAAACCCTTTAAAATAAAGTCACAGCAATCGGCAAAAAAAAAAAAAAAAAAAAAGAGAGAGGGAGTGGTCAGAGAGGAAGAGGAGGAACAGAAGCATGCAGGTGGGATGGTCCAGGACTGCAGAGGGTCAAGGAGAGCAAGGCAGAGAATTAGGCAGTGAGCTCCTCCACAGAGCGGTACCTCTGACCTGGAGCCTGGGGGTGAGGCCAACTTTGGTTGCTGACATTAGAGAGGACAGGAGGCGACAGCAGAGGTGACACAGTAGCAGGAAGAGTTGGGAAGGGAATTGGAGTTAAAAGGGGCAGAAGAGGGAGCAGCTGATCACCAACAAATAGTTACTGAGCACCAGCTACATGCCAGGCACTGTTCTAGGCACTAGGAATACAGCAGAGGAGAAGACAGTCTCTGCCCTCTAGGATAGAGGCGCACAAACTGGCCCACATGATAAATCTGGCCTACTGTGTTTGTATGCTTGCAAGCTAAGAATGGGTTTTAGATTTTTAAATCATTTTAAAAGTCAAAAGAAGAATATTTCATGACATGTGAAAGTTATATGAAATTCATATTGTAGCATCCATAAATAAAGTTTTATTGGAACACAGCCACGCTCCGTTTACGTATCGTCTATGGCTGCTTTCTCACCACAACAGCAGAGTTGAGTAGTTGCAACAGAGACCATATGGCCTGAAAAGCCTAAAATATTTACTAGCTGGCTCTTTCGAAAAAAGTTTGTTCAGGGGGTGAGGGGTTAGGAGAGGGACAGCATTAGGAGAAATACCTAATGTAGATGACAGGTTGATGGGCGCAGCAAACCACCATGGCATGTGTATACCTATGTAACAAAACTGCATGTTCTGCACATGTAGCACAGAATTTAAAGTATAATTTTAAAAAAAATTAAAAAAAAAAAGAGGCACCAGAGCGGTGGCTCACGCCTGTAATCCTAGCACTTTGGGAGGCTAAGGCAGGCGGATCACCTGGGCAAAAAGAGGGAAACTCTGTCTTAAAAAAAAAAAAAAAAAAAAAAAGAGGCACCAGAGAGCTGCCTTGCCTTTCTGCCATGTGAGGACACATAGAAAGTGCTCTGTATGAGGAACTGGCCATCACTAGACACCAAATCTCCTGGAGCTTTGATCCTGGACTTCCTAGCCTCCAGAACTCGGAGAGATTTCTGTCTTTGATAAATTGCCCACTGTAAAGTATTTTGCTGTAGTAGCCTAGATGGACTAAGACAGTGCCCTAATAAGAAGAGACACCAGATAGCTTACTCCCTCTCTCTCAAGCTCACAAAGAAGAGGTCATGTGGTCATGTGAGCACACAGCAAGATGGTGGCTGATGACAAGTCAAGGGAAGAGTCCTCAGAATGAAATCAACCTTGGCAGCACCTTGATTTTGGATTTCCCAACCTCCAGAACTGTCAGAAATCAATTTCTGCTGTTTGAGCCCCTCCCCCCACAAAAAGTTTGTTGACTCCTGCTCTATCTGGCTAGACACAGTGGCTAATGCCTGTAATTCCAGCAATTTGGGAGATTGAAGCAGGCTTGCTTGAGCCCAGGAGTTTGAGACCAGCCTGGGCAACACAGTGAGACCCCATCTCTACAAACAATACAAAAATGCCTGGTGCCTTGTGCCTGTAGTACCGGCTAATCAGGAGGCTGAGGCAGGAGGATAGCTTGAATCTGAGATGTTAAGGCTGCACTGAGCAATGATTATGGCACTGTACTCCAGCCTGGGAGACAAAATGAGGCCCTGTCTCAAAAAAAAAAAAAAAAAAAAAAGAAAGAAAAAAAAGAAAAGAAAAAGAAAAGAAAAGAAAGAAAAAAAGTTACATTTTCTTTGGGGAAGACAGTTAAACAAGTAGGTGAGCTCTTTTCCGGGTGCTTCCCAGGACAAGAACCAGCGGGTTTCAGTGTTTCTTTGTACCCTGCTCCTTGGCCGCCTTCCCCTGGAAGAGAAGTTCTCTATCCAGCCAGGCTCTGATACAGCAGCAGAGCAGCCTAGGTCATGGTGATCAGTTCCCTGCCTCCTGGCCAAGAGGATCTAGCCTTTTCCTGGAAGGAAAAAAATCTCTCAGTGATTGCAGTCTAGCACCCACCAGATCCCCTTCCCCTCTCTCAGATCCTGGATCCAGGAACAGCTTGTGAGCTCAGAAGAACATAATCACCTTTGTTGTCAAGGCCTGCCATCTGTGTACACCTGCCACCTGGGTGGTGCCCTCCTCTTTCTAAACACTCTTCTCCCCCACTGCTTCATGGAACCCTCACAGGGGTAAGGTATGGGTAGGGATTGTTACTTCCATTTCCAGATGAGAAAACAGACTTAAAAAGATGAACTGACTTACCCAGGGTCATTGGCTGGAAATAGCTTGTGGAGCCAAAATTAGAAAGAGTGGATTTAGAGGCAGTCTTTGTCTCTTTTTAAAAAAAGAAAGAATTAATAAAAGAAAGTTGGCCAGGCGCAGTGGCTCATGCCTGTAATCCCAGCACTTTGGAAGACCGAGGCAGATGGATCACTTGAGGTCAGGAGTTTGAGACCAGCCTGGCCAACATGGTGAAACCCTGTCTCCACTAAAACTCCCACCAAAAATTAGCTGGGCGTCATGGTGCATGCCTATAATCCCAGCTACTCAGGAGGCTGAGGCAGGAGAATCGCTTGAAACCGGGAGACAAAAATTCACGCCACTGCACTCCAGCCTGAGTGACAGAGCAACACTCCATCTCAAAAAAAAAAAGAAGAAGAAGGGCTGGGCGCAGTGGCTCACGCCTGTAATCCCAGCACTTTGGGAGGCCGAGGTGGGCGGATCACAAGGTCAGGAGTTCGAGACCAGCCTGGCCAACATGGTGAAACCCTGTCTCTACTAAAGATACAAAAAATTTGCGGGGCGTGGTGGCACGCGCCTGCAATCCCAGCTACTCGGGAGGCTGGGGCAGGAAAATGGCTTGAACCCAGGAGGTAGAGGTTGCAGTGAGCTGAGATTGCGCCATTGCACTCCAGCCTAGGTGACAGGGCGAGACTCCATCTCAAAAAAAAAAAAAAATAGTGGAATGTTGTCAGCTTTGGAAGGGGCCTTTGTCTTGGCCAAAGATGGGAAACTGGTAGCCTGAGGCAGAGGTGAATCAGGTAAGGGTGGTAGTGAGTCTGCCATGTGCAAGAAATAAGGCATGCTTTGTCTGTAGAGAATTTAAAAACATTAGTGAGGCCAGTTGCCATGGCTCACGCCTGTACTCCCAGCACTTTGGGAGGCTGAGACAGGTGGATTGCTTGAGCCCAGGAGTTCAAGACCAGCCTGGGCAACATGGTGAAACCTCACCTCTACAAAAAAAGTAAAAAAAATGATAAAATAAAAACATCAATGAAACTGGGTAGGTCTGCTTTTTACTATCACCATGGCTTGGCAATTCTAAATAATGTCAGTGATAAAATCATCCTTCCCAAAGAGATCCCTCTGTTGGTCAAAGTACTAATTGTTGTGATTGCTGTGAGGTTTTTGTTTTTTGTTCTTTTTTTGTTTTTTTTTTTTTTAAGAGACAGAGTTTCCCTCTGTCAGCCAGGCTGAAGGGCAATGGCACAATCACAGCTCACTGCAGCCTCGAATTCCTGGGCTCAAGGGATCCTCCCACCTCGGCCTCCCAAAGCACTGGGACTGCTATAAGTTTTAGGAATATATGTAAGCTGCAGATTCATATATTTTTATTACCTAAACTTTAATAAATAATATATTCTACATGGAAGCTAATTTGGATAACTCCTGAGTTATACGCTTGGCCCCCAGCACACAGGGAGTCAGCTACACACCTTTAGTTTGAGAGTTCCCAGTGGGTCGAAATCATGGGAGCTCACTTTGGGAGTAGTTCATGTCTCCACATCCTTGCATTTAAACAACAAATTTGAAATCAACAGTGATAGCACAGTAACTATAAAAACAAGGGAAAAGCTGGGCACGGTGGCTCATGCCTGTAATCCTAGCACTTTGGGAGGCTGAGGCGGGTGGATCACGAGGCCGGGAGATCGAGACCATCCTGACTAACACGGTGAAACCCCATCTCTACTAAAAATACAAAAAATTAGCCGGGCGTGGTGGCGGGTGCGTGTAGTCCCAGCTACTCGGGAGGTTGAGGCAGGAGAATGGCATGAACCTGGGAGGTGGAGCTTGCAGTGAGCCAAGATCACACCAGTGCACTCCAGCCCAGGCAACAGAGCGAGATTCCGTCTCAAAAAAATAAAATAAAATAAAAAATAAAATTTTCACTGTGTTTACTTTCTGACCATGATTATTTGTTTTATTTCATAATTGTTATTGATAAAAATTCTGACATATGGAGGTTAAAATATGATTCTCTTTGTGTGTCAAATATACTAGGTGCACCATGGACCTGAAGACAGAAGAGGACCCACAGTGGCTTACATCATTATGTTATCCATCATAATCATCATTTTATTTATTTATTTATTTTGGACACAGGTCTTGCGCTGTCACCCAGGCTAAAGTGCAGTGGAGCTCACTGCAGCCTCAAACTCCTGGGCCCAAGTGATTCTCCCATCTCAGCCTACCAAGGAGCTAGTACTACAGGCATTTACCACCACATCTGACTACTTTTTGTTTTTTGAGACAGAGTCTCACTCTGTCGCCCAGGCTAGAGTGCAGTGGTACGATCTCGGCTCACTGCAACCTCTGCCTCCCAGGTTCAAGCAATTCTCCTGCCTCAGCCTCCTGAGTAACTGGGACTACAAGGGCGTGCCACCACACCCAGCTCAGCTAATTTTTTGTATTTTTAGTAGAGACGGGGTTTTGCCATGTTGGCCAGGCTGGTCTCGAACAACTAGATCTCGTGATCTGCCCGCCTCGGCCTCCCAAAGTGCTGGGATTACAGGTGTGAGCCACCATGCCTGGCCTTAATTTTTATTTTTGTAGAGACAGGGTCTTGCTATGTTGCCCAGGCTGGTGTCAAACTCCTGGGCTCAAGGAGTTTTTTTTTTTTTTTTTTGAGACACGGTTACTCTGTCTCCCATGCTAGAGTGCAGTAGCATGCTCATGGCTCACTGGAGCTTCGACTTCCCAGGCTCAAGCAATCCTCCCACCTCAGCCTCCCTAGTAGCTGGGACTACAGGCACGCACCACCATGTCCGGGTAATTTTTGTATTTTTTGTAGAGACAGAGTTTGCCATGTTGCCCAAGCTGGTCTCAAACTCCTGGGCTCAAGTTGTCTGCCCTCCTCAGCCTCCCAAAGTGCCCAGGTAAGCGTGAGCCACCATGCCTAGCCTCTTTCTTAAAAACATGAAAAAAAAAGTTATTGTCTTGATTATTGAGATTTTTGATGCCTCCTTAAATTTTGTACTTTAAGAGGTTTTGTACCTCATTAACCTCCCCCTAGTCCTGACCTTGCTTATTTAGCCCTCGCGACAATCCTGTAAAGTAAGTGCTATAATTACCCCTGTGTTACAGATAAGAAACGTGAAGCACAGGCTGGGCACGGTGGCTCACACCGGTAATCCCAGCACTTTGGGAGGCCGAGGTGGGCAGATCACAAGGTCAGGAGATCGAGACCATCCTGGCTAACATGGTGAAACCCCATCTCTACTAAAAATTAAAAAAAAAATTGCCGGGTGTGGTGGCACGCACCTGTAGTCCCAGCTACTTGGGAGGCTGAGATAGGAGAACTGCTTGAACCCGGGAGGTGGAGGCTGCGGTGAGCCGAGATCGGGCCACTGCACTCCAGCCTGGGCAACAGAGCGAGACTCTGTCTCAGAAAAAAGAAAAAGAAAAGTAAGGCACAGAGAGGCCAAGTGATTTGGCCAAGGACATACACTTTGTTTTTTGTTTTGTTTTGAGACAGGGTTTCATCATATTGGTCAGGCTGGTCTCGAACTCCTGACCTCAGGTAATCCACCTGCCTCGGCCTTTCAAAGTGCTGGGATTACAGGTGTGAGCCGCTGCACCCGGCCTTAAAATGTATCTCTTTCTTTTTTTTTTTTTTGAGATGGAGTTTCACTCTTCTTGCCCAGTCTGGAGTGCAATGGCATGATCTCGGCTCACTGCAACCTCCACCTCCCAGGTTCAAGCGAGTCTCCTGCCTCAGCCTCCCAAGTAGCTGGGATTACAGGCACGTGCCACCACGCCCAGCTAATTTTGTACTTTTAGTAGAGATGGGGTTTCTCCATGTTGGTCAGACTGGTCTTGAACTCCCAACCTCAGGTGATCCACCTGCCTCAGCCTCCCAAAGTGCTTGGATTACAGGTGTGAGCCACTGCACCCAGCCTAAAATGTATTTCTTAAAATAATAAGACTTGAAAGTCAAAATTACTCCCTGATCCATGGGCTGCAGAATGGATGTTGTGTTAGCAGGCATGAAAATCATATTAATCTTGTACATCTCCATCAGAGCTCTTGGGTGATCATGTGCATTGTCAATGAGCAGTAATATTTTAAAAGAAATCTTTTTCCTAAGAAGTAGGTCTCAACAGTGGGCCTAAAGTATTCCATAAACCATGCTGTAAACAGATGTGTTGTCATCCAGGCTGTGTTTTCCCATTTATAGAGGACAGCAAGAGTGGATTCGGCATAAGTTTTAAAGTCCTTGAGATTTTCCCCAGAATGGTCAATGAGCACTGGCTTCAAATTCAAGTTGCCAACTGCATTAGCCCCTAACAAGAGAGTCGGCCTGTCCTTTGAAGCACTGAAGCCAGGCATTGACTTCTCTCTAGCTATGAAAGTTCTAGATGGCATCTTCTTCCTATAGAAGGCTCTTTTGTGTGTGTGTGTGTGTGT